>NC_000001.11:236032606-236184121 GCF_000001405.40 Homo sapiens | reverse complement strand
GTTTCATTTCTTTTGTAAAATAAAACTAAGCTGAAAACCATTTTCCCTCAAAAGATAAGGGAAATGAATGTCTCAATAAAATAGTCAAGGAAACTTTTCATACCACCACAAAAGGAAGAGGCTCTCTTCTGAAAAATGAAGAAAAAGTTCTAATTGCAGGTTCCATGATCAGAATTAGGAGACATTTTCTTACAAATGTAAAATGGTTTACTTACAAGGTCCTTTGTAGGATTTCTAACTCGGAAGAAATAAACGACTAAGGTGGTAGGTAAGAGTTCCCAAACAAATAACACCACTCCAAATAATACGTATCCAGCATCTCCCAGCTGATTCTTCAAATCTGCCTGTTAGAAACAGACAGGGAGAGTCATCAGACCAAGGGAAGAGGAAATAAATTTGATTGTTTCTTTCTAATGTGAACAGAGAATAATTCTAATACTCTAGTACAATTCATTCCCCTATATTTTAGAATGTACTACCGAATATACTATATTAATACTTCTATTTAAAGTATTAAAATATAGTATAGTACATTCTCCTAAAATATGCACATTGAAATCAGATAATAGTAATGGTCTAGACCTCAGATACGGATTTTTTAAACCATATGAGATAAATGATTATCTTCTTCTTCAAAATATTCAAAGACAGAAACTTCTAACCTCTGATGTTTTAATATTTCATGCCCCCAAAACTCTTAAGTCCAAATTAACACTCTCACTTAAATCTAAGCTGATTTTCTTCAACAATTGAATAGTGAGAAGGTTATGTTGCCTCCTCCTAAATTCTTGGGAGCAGCATACAACTATTATCCCTTAGTCTCATCCCTAGGATAAAGAGGTCAACTTTCAAATGTTTCTTCACATAAACCATATCCTGTTGTTTACCCTTTAAAGCGTACTGTAGGCTAGCTTGTCTAGAAAAACAATCCACAGAGCCTAAGGTGTTTGGTATGAGGCCCAGTGAGATGGCCAGAGAGCTTGGTGGAGCAGTGTTCTCTCTTCAGAACAGACAGAAGGTTCCTGAGGAAAGCACATGGTTGGGTTTGGGCAATCGTAAAGGCCCAAACACCTAAACTTAACCCTTTTGCCTTCTCTATAACATCATACTTAAAGCATGGTGACCAAAACTACGCATGCTTCTTTCAGAAAGATCACTCTCTTACTTCCTCTATATCACATCTCCATCATGTGTTCTTTTTTGATTCCGCACAAGTAAGTCATACAACTGTGGTCATTTGTTTTGCTTGCTCCTAGATTATTTTGGTGGCAACACACATCTAGATAACCATAAATATCCCATAAAAATAGAAGAATTTTAAAGATTGTCATATTTTAAATCCACTGCAATTATAAATTTTATATATATATTTTTTGTTTGTTTGTTTGAGACAGGGTCTTGCTCTGTCACCCAGGATGGAGTGCAGTGGTGCGATCACACCTCACTGCAGCCTTCAGCTCCTGGGCTCAAGTGATCCCTCCAAGCAGCTAGGACTACAGGTGTGTGCCAACATGCCTGGGTTATTTTTTAATTTTAATTTTTTATTTTTTGTAGAGATGAGGTCTTGCTATGTTGCCAGGGCTGGTCTCAAACTTCTGGCCTCAAGTGATCCTCCCAAAATGCTGGGATTACAGGCCACTGCACCCACCCATAAATTTTTTTTGTTGTTTTTAAGTGAAAGCAAGATTAGGAAAGTAAAGAAAGAATGGCCACTCCTCCATATATAGAGTTTATAGGCAGAGCACCCATGCATTCTTACTTGAAGAAAAACTGAAGTAACTTTGTTAAACCCAAATCTTTGTTATTTAATGGATACAGAGTTTCAGTTTAGGAAGATGAAAAAATTCTAGAGATGGATGGTGATGATGGCTGCACAACACTGAGTGTACTTAATACCAGTGAACTGTACACTTAAAAATGGTTAAAATAGGGCCAGCCAACGGTGGCTGACGCCTATAATCCCAGCACTTTGGGAGGCCGAGGTGGGCGGATCATGAGGTCAGGAGTTCAAGACCAGCCTGGCCTATATGATGAAACCCGTCTCTACTAAAAATACAAAAAAATTAGCCGGCATGGTGGCGCTTGCCTGTATTCCCAGCTACTCAGGAGGCTGAGGCAGAAGAATCGCTTGAACCCGGGAGGCGGAGGTTGCAGTGAGCCAAGATTGTGCGGCTGCACTCCAGCCTGGTGACAGAGAGAGACTCCGTCTCAAAAAAAAAAAAAAAAAATAGCAAATATTATGTGTATTTTACTACAATACAAAATCAAATCCTTTGTGTATTATGATTGTCTCTAATTAATCATTGTTTAAAGTTTAGATTTTCATATACTTGATTTCCTCAAAATAGTGCACGCCCTTAGCAGTGCCTTGCCCAGCTTTCTGCCATCCTGTGTTTGTGGTGTTGGTTTGGGTTCAGAGATGTGGTTTTAATCCTTTCTAATTACAACACAATTTTACCTTGTCCTCACAGGTTTAGCTTATCATGATCATTTTATTCTTTCTTCCACTGTCTAAATCCAGCTCAGGGTTTGAGCACTATTGAGATGTTAGAAGATTTATAGATGGTTAGGTATTCAATACTTTTCCAAGAAAAGCTAAGGAACATTTGCCAATCAATCTAATAAATGTATAATAGAGAAGTTACATTTCTTTATTGTTAATGGCTAATCTGTGTGTCTCTTTTCCTTAGTGGACCATAAAGCTCCCAAAGGGCAGGGAATGAGTCTGTTCGGTTTTGTATCCCTGGCACTTTGCACAGTGCCCAAGATGAGGAAAAAAAAAAAATGCTGTTTGTCAAATGAGTGAATGGTGGTTCATTCTCATTGTTGCTTTGAGTTTTTGTGAGCATGGATGGCAGATGACATTTCACTACCTTTGTTCATTTGCTTTATGACTCGTAACTTATACATTTATAGAATGTATTTTTAAAAAGAGTATCATATTGCAACAACTAGTGCCATGAGCTTTTATAAAACTTTAATATCCTCAGTCACTTTTGTCTAGATTTTCTCAAATGCTGTGTACGTGCTCCATTAAAAAAAATTCACTCCCTGAGGATGACAAAAAAAACAAAAACATTCTCATAACTTCATAGTCCTATGTATTTTCTAAAGTCTGAATACAATTTGCTTACTATCTGCAAATGTCACCCTTTAATAATATCATCTTACATTTATATGGAAGCATGTTAAAAAAATTAAGTACTGGCTGGCACAGTGGCTTACGCCTGTAATCCTAGCACTGTGGGAGGCCGAGGCAGGTGGATCACCTGAGGTAGGAGTTCGAGACCAGCCTGGCCAACATGGTGAAACCCCATCTCTACTAAAAATACAAAAAATTAGCCAGGTATGGTAGTGGGTGCCTGTTATCCCAGCTACTCTGGAGGCTGACGCAGGAGAATTGCTTGAACCTGGGAGGCAGGTCGCGCCATTGCACTCCAGCCTGGGCAACAAGAGTGAAACTCCGTCTCAAAAAAAAAAAAAAAAAATTAAGTACTGCTTAATAAAAGCCCTAAGAGGGAGAATGGAGTGCAAAGTATGTGTGTACACATGTATGTGGATACATACACACAAATATGTAATCTCCTGGTTTTCTCAAAAGGGAACAAGGCAGGTGCTGTGATCCCATCTGACAGATGAGTTCAGATGCCACACAGGGAAGTGACCTCTCAAGGTCACTCAGTCATTCACCAGCAGAAACAAGGACCATGGACTTGTCTCCCATGTGAACCACTGAAATGCAAACAGTCGGCCCTCCATATCAGCGGGTTCCACATCTGCAGACTCAACCATCCACGGATCAAAAATATTTGAAAATAAAAAATACTAATAACAATTAAAAATAGAAATTTTCAAACAATGTAGTATAACAACTGTTTACATAGCATTTGTGTTGTATTTGGTATTGTAAATCATCTAGAGATTAATTTAAAGTATACAGAAGGATGCGTGTAGGTTATATGCAGATACTACACCATTTTATATCAGGGACTTGAGCATCCAGATTTTGGTATTTTCTGGGGTCCTGGAACCAATGCCTCGAGGATACCAAGAGTCCCTGGTCAGGTGACACCTCCTCAGCGCCCCCACTGACCTGGTCTGATACATTGTACCAGTCATAATCAAAGGAATGGACGCTCTTGTTCTGAGAAAATGACAGGATGAACAGGTTGTAGCAGGCCCGAGAGGTGTAAAGCAGTATCACGGTGACACCGATGGCAGTCACTTGACACACGGAGGAGCCCTGGAAAAGAGGGAGCAGAAGGTATGGGACACTCCAGGTCCAAGACACCAGCCCCTTCCCCAGCCCCCACCTGCTATCAGTCTGGTAAAGCCCTTTGGGATCTCAGAGCACTGTGATCTTGTTGGGTCTTCCATCAGAGTCCTTTTCACACTCCTTCTTCCTACAATTTCAAGTGTCTTCATATGGACCCTGGGACTTGGTTTGGAGATGCCTTTAACAGGGTTAAAATATGCACCATTTTCCCGTGGCCTAGAGTGTACGAGCAAGAAAGTCAGATGGCTGCTTTGCTAAATCTCTGATGGCCACTGCTCAGCTCCAAGAGGATCTTCTTGGCTTCCACACGCAGCAGGTGAGCCCGGGGCCAGGGCCTCTGGCTCAAGGAGGCAAGTAAACAATCTCAGAGGGACAATGGCTGGGGCAGAGCTCAGGACGGCTCTGTCTGGAATCTTTGAGGCCGGGAATACAGGAGCCCTAATGTGACTTTGGACTCGGAATTACCTGGAAATCAGTGATTTGTGCCCCACGTTATGAAGCTATCAATTTCCAAAGACAGTTAAAAGACCCCTGGCTCAAAATGGATAGTTAACATGACCAAAAAACTAAAACTGACTTTTGAGTACTGTATTAGACAGTCATTAACTAAACCTAAGATATTATTTTCTTTTGCCAGTAGTGCTTTGTTAGCTTGTGTGCCATAGGGGTGAGCTCAGTGGTATTCTGACAACCTATGATTCAACCCTTCCTATTAAAAACCACAGTTCTGTTGTTAAAAGCCTTGAGTAGTGCGGGCGCGGTGGCTCACACCTGTAATCCCAGTACTTTGGGAGGCCGAGGCAGGTGGATCACAAGGTCAGGAGATTGAGACCATCCTGGCTAACACAGTGAAACCCCGTCTCTACTAAAAATACAAAAAATTAGCCAGGCGTAGTGGTGGGTGCCTGTAGTCCCAGCTACTCAGGAGGCTGAGGCAGGAGAATGGCGTGAACCTGGGAGGCGGAGCTTGCAGTGAGCCGAGATCACCCCACTGCACTCCAGCCTGGGAGACAGAGTGAGACTCCGTCTCAAAAAAAAAAAAAAAAAAAAAAAAAAAAAACCTCGAGTAGCCCCTGTGTGGGAGACAATAAAACGGAGAAAGTCAAGGCAAAATCAAGTCTAAAATTCATCAAAATGTACTTTTGCAAACCAGGAAACTCTTTTTAGAACACGTTTCATGGGAGGGATCTTGACCACATTTCCACCTACCTTGGACTCCAAGTAAATGTTGGCTAAGGACATCTTAGAGATTTTGTAGAGACAGATGGAGAGAGAGACGGCACACAGCACGAAGAGCGTGTCATTAATGGCCACTCGCACAGAGACGATAACCTTCCTCTCCCAATTTCCCGTCTTTACCAGCACAGCACAGGTTAAATTCACCAACAGGAAAACAAGGCTGATGAAGAGGGAGGCCAGGTAGAGGGGCAACCTGGAAGGCATGAGAGCAACTTGTCAGCTGCACATCCCAGGTCAGTCTAGAAGGACACTGAGATGTGTTTTGGTGAACTGCTAGAAGCAGACACACCAAAGGTGACATTTAAGAGCTTGGACTCTGGCAATAGACGTTCCCAGATTCAAATTACAAACTGACCCCAAATTATGCCTCTGGATGGTCCTTTACCTCTCTGAACCCCACTTTCCCCATCTGTGGGATGTTGTGAGGACTGAGAGCTCACACTCGTTGGCTGGCGTGGACACTCGCTGAGCGCTCCCTACTCACAGCGAAGAGTGGAGAGCACAGCTCGGGATGGCGTTTTATAGGCATTCTGACAACTCCACATTGTTAGAATTAACTTAGACAAAATGCAACCTCTTGAGCCTTGGTTCCATCACTTGAAAATAAGACTACATAATACCTACCTTATGTATAGGTCTTTTGTGGGGATTAGGTGAGATAATGAATTTGTATAATGCATTTTACCCCCAAAAGTCATTATTGATGTGGAGTCCAGAGAGCGCTCACTTATGTGATTAAAAATCTGCCACAGGCCGGGTGCAGTGGCTCACCCCTGTAATCTCGGTCCTTTGGGAGGCCAAGGCAGGTGGATAGCTTGAGGTCAGGAGTTCAAGACCAGCCTGGCCAACATGGTGAAACCCCGTCTCTACTAAAGATACAAAAATTAGCTGGGTGTGGTGGCACGCACTTGTAATCCCAGCTACTCAGGAGGCTGAGGCAGGAGAATCACTTGAACCGGGAGGTGGAGGTTGCAGTGAGCCGAGATCGCGCCACTGCACTCCAGCCTGGGGCACAGAGCGAGGCTCAAGTCTCAAAAAAAAACAAAAACAAAAACAAAAAACTGCCACAGCAACTACCCAAGGATCAACAGATGCAAAACTCTACTTCACTGGCCATTTTTAACCTGTAGTTTCTCAGAGCTACACACTTCCTAAGTGACCTGTGTAAAATCTATGGAAAGACTAGGACATGGAAACTGGGATTCTAGTCCCAGCTCTAGACATGCCACTGATGATAAGTCGGTGGGTAGGGAGAGGGAGGGGGTAGAGAGAGAAAGAGGCAGACAGAGAAAAAGAGACAGAGAGGGGCAGGGGATATGGCCCAAAGAGACCTTGGTTCCAGCCCACCCAGGTCCATGCCCAGCTGCAGTTTTATTTCCTGCCCTCAGATTCCAGTGTGACATAACAACCCCCCACTTACTCAGGCTAATCCGAATGGCATTTTATGTCTTGTAATTAATAATTTACCCACTGGCAAAAATCTCTCACATAACTTTCAGAACCCAGTTCTACCAAAGAACTTTGTCTACCCGGCTCCTGCTCATCCTCTAGATCTTAGCTCAAACAGCACTGCAGCAAACACACCCCTGACCCTCCCTGTACCTCCTCACACGCACACACACCATGGGTACACAGGCAGTCAGGTTTCTCTGACATCTGCTCTCCTGGTCCCTCATATTTTAACTTCACAGACTTATCACAGTTTATAACAAAACAGACGGGTGACCATCTGATCAATGCCTGCGTCTCCCTAGACAGAAAGTCCCGTGGAAAATGAGACTCTCCATTTCCACTCTCTCCATCCACACTGTAGGTGGCAGGGTCTCCACGAAGAAGGTTTAAGAGGGAGGGAGGGAAGAAGGAAGGAGTCAGTCCAAAAAGCATGACGTCAGCTATCAAGGGCTGCCCTTTTATTTCCTATGAATGCTCTAAGCACAGTAGCTGCTAGATCTTCCCCTGGCTAGTGGGAAAACGACCCGTCACAGGGGAATTAAACAACTTTCTGGGGAGGCGGAAAGGACTGCAGGCTTCTCCCTGCACAGCCCTGTGCTGGGGGCTGGCTGCTCATCAGGCTCGTGCTGAGAGAGTGGGATGAAGATGAGGCAGCCCGGGCCCCCAAGCAGCTCAGGGGGCAGGAAGGTGCCACAGTAAGGAACGTGTGTGCCCTGGAGGAGGGACAAAGTACTTGCATCGGAGAGATGAGCGAGTCGGACATGCAGGAGGGGACCCGCCACCCCAGCATGGCTGCAGTGGGATGGGAACAGTGCCCCCCACCCCCCAAGAGCTGTGTGATGATGGAGAGCGCTGTGAAGTCTTAGGGATTCGACCTCATGTGTCATGATACACTCAGAGCTTTTCAAACAGAAACGTTAATGATTTGCCATGGACAGATTCTTTTCCAGGCCCTGATCGCTGAGCAAGGCCCCTCACTCTCTCATGTCACAGGCCCTGCTGTTCCCTCCGCACCTCCAACCTCTTCCCCACCAGACTGTGGGCATGAGAGGGGCAGCCCCACCCTCCCACATCCCCAGCCTCAAAATGCCATGCCGGGCTCCCACTAAGTGCCTATCCTTCAATTCTATGACACACTCTTTGCTTCATGTTTTCATGTTTCCACGGTCGGGATCATCTTGCACTATGGAACACTGTGCATTCAACATGGGAGTGTTTCTTCTCTTCCTGGAACCTGTTGTAAAGCCCTTGGTGTAGGTCAGAATCAGGAAACTGAAATTTGCATGCAACCTTCAGCCAGTCACCTAACCAAGCAAGCCCCGCTGCTTCCTCCTGTCTAGGGCTGGAGGTGTTCCGTGTCAGTCTCTTGAGGCCATGGAGTGGGCGAGGGAAATAATGCCTGTGGAGCTTTGAGGGCAGCCCCTGGCTTACAGGGAGGTATTACGGTTTTCATGTGCTCTGCCCCATGTTCTCTCAGTGATGGGGGAATCAGGGGAGGGGGGTATGGGCCAAAGGAGCTGTGGAGAGAGACAAAGGCAGGGCCGCTTGGGAGTTACCAAAAATCTGTATTCCAGATTCTCAAAAGCCCTGCTTTTATTGTTTTATCCGCTGTGCTTTTGTGAAGAGCGCTAGATGGAAACATCCAGAACCCGCGTGTACACACACTCCATGCAGCAGCCTCTGGGGAACGCACTGTCTGGCCACTTACATTTTCCAGATGATTCCTCGTGGGTGCTGTCTGAAATACAGTTGACCCTTGAGCAATACAGGTTTGAACTGTGCGGGGCCACTTATGTACGGATTTTCCTCCACTGCCACCCTTGACACAGCAAAACCTTCCTCTCCCCTCTCCTCCTCCACTTACTCAGCATGAACACAATGAGGATGAAGACCTTGATGATCACCCACTTCCACTTAATAAGTAGAAAATTTGTTTTCTCTTATGATTTTCTGTATTTTTTAAGAGACAGCATCTCCCTGTGTCACCCAGGTTGGAATGCAGTGGCACAATCATGGCTCACTGCAGCCTCGAACTCCTGACCTCAAGTGATCCTCCCGTCTCGGCCTCCCAAAGTGCTGGGATTACAGCTGAGAGCCACTGCACCTGGCCTACACTCTTCCTCAGAAAATATGCTTGTTTCTGTAGCTTCAATCATGACTTTTGTATGACTGAGTTCAAACATCTTTCGTCTCAAGCCATGCCTTTGATCTGAGTTCCAGACTCATTTCCCTAACAGCCTGCCATTCGGAGGCCCTGCCCCCTCAAGCCAGCATGTCCCAAACTCAATTCCCAATGTCCTTTTTTTCTGAGTTGGGGTCTTGCTCTGTCACCCAGGCTGGAGTACAGTGATGCAATCCTAGCTCACTGCAGCCTTGAACTCCTGGGCTCGAGCGATTCTCCCACTTCAGCCTCCTGAGTAGCTAGAACTACAAGTGCATGCCACTGCACCCAGCCCCAGTGTCCCTCTTCTAGCACGCCTCTAAGTGTTCCTATTTCTGTTAAAGGTGCCATAGCTTTTCATAGACTCTAACTGTAATGTTCTTCTTTGATTCCATCCACCCCCTATATAATCCATTGTCAAGGTCAGTAGATTCTTCATTCCCACTCTATCCATGCCTCCTGTGCCAGCCTCACACAGTCTCATGCCTCTGACCAGAACTAATGTAGTTTCCTAATTCATCTTTGCCCTAAAGCCCCACCCCGCATCTTCCAGAACCCAGCACTCAAGAGGCAGCTCAATCTATGGACAGGCTACGTGCTCATCAAGCTGGTCAACTCCATGTTTTAAACATGGCCAGGTGTCTCCACCTCCTGTCTTTCTGCAAGCTGACTTTTCTGCCTGGAACCTTCCTCCTTCTTGATTTTTATCTATCAAATCCTATTCTCAGAGCCTTTAGGAGGCTTTGTTTAGTCTACTCAACAAAAGCCTGTTATTATCTTAGGAAAGGAGGCTGTGTTGGGAGATTTAAAACAATATGGAAAAATATGTGTGACCTAACATCAAGTTAAAAAGTCAGGATGCAAAATTGGAAATGCAATATAGACATCAACTTTGTCTTGGGAAATCTGTATAAAAACCTATAATGGAATACATCATTGTATTTCCTTAGGGCTGGAGGGGGGTTTATGCTGGGAGGAGGGAAAGTTCAGTGGACTTGCTTGCTTTCTTTCCACATGTCTATATTCACAAAATGTCTATCTTTTTCTATTGTATAATTTTTTTCCTAATATCCTTGTTATCACTTTTATAATGCAAAACCATCTTGCAAAACAAGTTTTTTTCCCTCTATGCCTGCAGCTGTGGTAGAAAGGGAGCGATCTGGAGGTGTGGCGAGAGAGTTTTCAAAGGAGGCCAGAATAAACTGTATCAAAAAAGTATGTTTCCACAGAAAGAATTTTGTACACTGCCCCCAATACTACTGCCTTTTAACCTAAACCATAGGGCCAGGATAAATAGCTCATCCTGGCATGATGACAGAAATGACCCAAAGAAATAAAACAATCAGTGTGACCCAGCATCTGGGAAGACCACATTGCTTGTGGGACCAGAAGGATCAGTGCTGCTGGTCAGCAAATGCAGGGATGAGGCGAGTCTTCAAGGCAGCCAACACAACAGTGCCCGACACCTCCTACTGTGAGAGGACAGAAGCAAGGGGTAAAGCATTGTTTAAATTTATCTCCCAATACCATCGATTCCTTCCTTCCTTTCTTCCTCCTTCCCTCCCTCCCTCCTTCCTCTCTCTCTCTCTCTCTTTCCCTACCTGTCTTTCTCTCTTTCCCTTCCTTCGTTTCTTCCTTTCTCTCTCTCTCTTTCCCTCCCTCCCTTCCTTTCATCCTTTTCTTTCTTCTTTTTTTTTTTTTTTGAGACAGGGTCTTGCTCTGTCACCCAGGCTGGAGAGCAGGAGTGCAATCACAGCTCACTGCAGCTTCAACCTCCTAGGCTCAAGCGAGTCTCTCACCTCAGCATTCCAAGTAGCTGGGAATACAGGCGCGCACCACTACGCCCAGCTGATTTTTTTATTTTGTAGAGATGGGATCTTGCTCTGTTGTCACGGCTGGTCTTGAACTCCTGGGCTCAAGTGATGCTCCCACCTCAGCCTCCCAAAGTGCTGGGATTACAAACATGAGCCGCTGCTTTTTCACTTAAAGAAAGGGAAAAGCATGCCAGGCATGGTGGCGTGTACCTGTAATCCCAGCACTCTGGGAGGCTGAGGCGGGAGAGTCGCTTGAGTCCAGGAATTCAAGACCAGCCTGGGCAACATAGCAAGAACCTGTCTCTAAAAAAAAAAAATTTTTTTTTAATTAGCTGGATGTGGTGACATGCACCTGTATTCCCAGCTACTCAGGAAGCAGAGGCAGGAGGATCGCTTGAGCCCAGGAGATTAAAGCTATAGTGAGCTATGATTGCACCACCGCCACTGCACTCCAGCCTGGGTGAGACCTTGTCTCTTAAAAAAAAAAAAAAAGGAAAACCTGGCTCACTGTATTTTTTACTTATTTAAAAAAATCACAAAGCTAGAGGGCAAACAGTTGGAAATGATTACTCCCATGCCAAATGTTCACATTTCTTAAACCAAATAAATTAAAATACATAGACTGAGAAAGAGAAAGCCTGAATTAAATTGCCTTCCACTCCAGCAAAACTCTGAGCTAGCAGATGTGGGAGGGTAGAGGTGATTTTAAGTGAAAAATAAAGTGGTTCTTGGCTGAGTTAAATATAAATTATCTTCAAAACCAGTGAATTACTACAGGAATAGATTGGAGTGGAAAGTTTCAACTAGTTCTAGACTAATGGCTCATGTTTTATTTCAAGTGAGTTATGATTAAATGAGGGAAGCCAATCTATTTAGAAGCCAACATACCAAAGCATCTCAAGGGAGAGATTGTGGCCTGAAATGTCTCTAGTGGCATCTGGTTTAAGAGAACTGAGGAATTCTATAGATGAGACTAAAGATGTGCCTACACAGGAATAACTCCTAGTATTTCTTTATATTTGGCAACAAAATCACTAGGACTGGGTTAACAGGCATGTCCCATTGAAACCTCACCCTCCTGTTTCAAGGAACTCTCCAACTTCACTGGCCTAAACATCTCACTTTTTTTTTTTTTTTTTGAGATGGAGTTTTTGTTCTTGTTGCCCAGGCTGGAGTGCAATGGCACAATCTCGGCTCACTGCAACCTCAACCTCCTGGGTTCAAGTGATTCTCCTGCCTCAGCCTCCCAAGTAGCTGGGATTACAGGCATGCGCCATCATGCCTGGCTAATTTTTGTATTTTTAGTGGGATTTCACCATGTTGGCCAGGATGGTCTCAAACTCCTGATCTCAGGTGATCTGCCTGCCTCGGCCTCCCAAAGTGCTGGGATTACAGGCATGAGCCACCGCGCCCAGTCCCAAACATCTCACTTTTAACATCTGGATCCAAATTTATTTCTCCCCATCTTCTCCCTTCATTTCTGTGAATCCCTTCCCAATAAAATGCAGCCATACATGTCAGCGCAGCCTGTCTTTGAGGTATACTTTGGCTCAAGGATCAAGCAAGGACTGCCCCACGCACATATCTTCTCACCCGAAGACCCCAGTCCCCGTGCTCAGAGGTTGAAAGCTTTTTAAACAATTTCCTTTCTGACCAGTGCTTTTATATTCCACCTCTAGAAGACATCTAATTACCCCAGCCTCAACTGCTTCCAAGATAAAATCAGTTCCACGGTCCGATCAGACAGAATGTTCTCCTCCTATGCCCATCTTCACTCATGCTTTGACCTACATTTCTGGCTGGGGGGATGCAGGGCAAAGACTATAGATGCAGAGGAGAGGCTACTATCTTGTTACTGGAGAAGAGAGGGAACTGTCTACTTGTACTTTATACAGGTTGACCATCCCTAACCCAAAAATTCAAAATCCGAAATGCTCCAAAATCTGAAACTTTCTGAGCATCAATCAACCTGATGCCACAACTGGAGAATTCCACACCTGACTTCATGTGATGGATTGCAGTCAAAACACAGTTACAACTGTTTTATGCTGAGTTATTTAAAATGTTGTATAAAGTTGCCTTCAGGATATGTGTATAAGGTGTATCTGAAACATAAATACATTTCGTGTTAGATTTGTGTCCCATCCAATCCCCCCATCTCTCATTATGTATACAAAAATATCTTTTTCCTTTTTTTTTTTTTTTTGAGACAGAGTCGCTGTGTTGCCCAGGCTGGAGTGCAGTGGCATGATCTCCACACACTGCAATCTCCACCCCTTAGGCTTAAGCGATTCTCCCAACTCAGCCTCCTGAGTAGCTGGGATTACAGGCACCTGCAACCACGCACAGCTAATTTCTGTATTTTTAGTAGAAACGGGGTTTCACCATGTTGGCCAGACTGGTCTCAAACTCCTGACCTCAAATGACCTACCTGCTTCGGCCTCCCAAAGTTCTGGGATTACAGGAGTGAGCCACCGTGCCCGGCCTGTATATGCAAATATTTCAAAATCCAAAAAAATCTGAAATCTGAAATATTTTTGGTCCCAAGCATTTCAGATTAGGGACACTCAACCTGTACTTTAAATTGCTCTCCTTGGGACCAACATCATTTCACAGTGGACGCTGAAGTTCCACCTGAGCCTGGTAGAGACGTGAACTGAGCCACGTACAAAGCAGTGAAGGGAGACAGCAAGATCAGGTGAAAAACAAAACAAAACCCGGGACGGTGAGTCTTGGGACTTGTATCTTGGCCCAGGCACCTTCACAGAACTTTCTGAACTTGAGAGAAACCTTCTGAACTGGTTTCCTTGGATATAAACTCAGGATTAAACTATTACACCTTCAGAATTTTAAGTAAAAAGTCTTTACATATTTTTAGATGATATATATTTAAATAAAATATGTATACGATTTAACATATTTTAAAAAATGACAAAATAATTTTTCATTTTGACCCAAGGAGGCAATGGCCAGAGTCACCTTTTCAGAAATGTTTGCCGTTGGCAATGGAGTTCTCCCGGGCAGAAACGCCAGAACCCCTGGACTCACACTGCACCCCCGCGCCTCTTCCAGAGGCCTGTTCTCCTCCCCCAACCCCAGTCAAACCTGACCATTCTTTTTTTTTTTTTTTTTTTTTTTTTGAGATGGATTCTCACTCTGTTGCCCAGGCTGCAGCACAGTGGTGCAATCTTGGCTTACTGCAACCTCTGCCTCCTGAGCTCAAGTGATTCTCCCACCTCAGCCTCCTAAGTAGCTGAGACAACAGATGTGCGCTACCTCGCCCGGCTAATTTTTGTATTTTTAGTAGAGACAGGGTTTCACTATGTTGGCCAGGCTGGTCTCGAACTCCTGACCTCAAGTGATCAGCCCACCTCGGCCTCCCAAAGTGCTGGGATTACAGGCGTGAGCCACCGTGCCCAGCCAAACCTGAGTATTCTTTAAGCCACTGGTTCTTGGCCTTAGGAAAGTCATAGGCCTCTCCCCTCTGGGGAGAGCTACGAACCCCTCCATAGGAAAATGCAGATCCCCCTCCTCACATAACTTAAGAGGTTCCCTTCCAGATTACACTCTGGCACAAGCCTCTCTTCCACAAAATGTCCATGCCTCCCGGTGTCCATGTTTTTGGCATGTTGCACATCCTGCTCTGCCTGATTCTGCAAGCCTTTGTGTTAAGCCATTGTTACAAATATAGAGTGTCCACTTCTCAGCTATAACACATTCTTCCTCCTGGTGCCTAAATGAGCACTGAATGGTCAGAACAGTATTTCTGGATGTGGATGGATACCCTGCAAGCAGCTGTGTAGCAACTTAGGGTTCAATGGGCACTGAAGTTCTGGAAAACAAGGAGCCGGAGCCTACCAGCAGCTGAGACAAGGCGGGTAAGGCCACCAGGTGGCAGGCTGCAGGGGCGAGGCCCTGCCACAGCTGCACCTGCACCTGCACCTGCACCTGTACCTGTACCTGTACCTGCACCTGCACCTGCACCTGCACCTGCACCTGCACCTGCAGTGGGAGCATGGGAGGTGCGGGATGGGGAAGGGGAAGCACCTGGCAAAGCACTGCATCTTCAAGGAACCCTGTTTCCTTCTGCTGAGGCTCTTCTCAAGTGCCTCAGGAAGGTTTAGAGGCAACATACACCTATTTTATTCCCATGTATTTCCTCCTGTTAGGAAAGGCACCAGGCTCTTGTTTCTGAACTGGGTAAGTATGATGCAAGTCCCCATGATTCATGAAGTCATGATCTGATGACCTGACCCTTACCGGCAATGCACATGATGTGCACAATGTGGGCAGCCAGCCAGCAGGCAGGACTGTTTCCGGCGGCTCACAGAACAGCGATGTGTGCAAACCCCAATGGAGAGATGAGATTCATGTGTCGGCACTTTCCCCTTCTACCACAGAAAGAGATGCCCTGCAGTACTTACCGGTATTTGAGTAATTCTGGAGAATATTTTGACTTGGCTTTGAAAATCACCTGCAACGACAGAAAAGCATGGCAGGTTGGGGTCCAATATGTTGACAGAACCAGACTGATACCATCACTGGGAATTCCTCTGCCCCTTCATCCCCCAGCGCTGGGCACGTTTTTTATAATTGAAATGTCCACGTTTGTTATGCCAAACATTTCTTATGTTGCACATACAGTTTTAATAGTAAAGGAATTCGAACATGGTTAAAAAAGAAAACAAAACTAAATGTATTACTAGTCTACCATGGCCAAGTACTTCTGTTCAGATTCTTTTTTTTTTTTTTTTTCGAGACAGAATTTCACTCTTGTTGCCCGAGCTGGAGTGCAATGGCGCCATCTCGGCTCACTGCAACCTCTGCCTCCCGGGTTCAAGTGATTTTCCTGCCTCAGCCTCCCAAGTAGCTGGGATTACAGGTGTCACCACACCCAGTTAATTTTTGTATTTTTAGTAGAGATGGGGTTTCACCATGTTGGCCAGGCTGGTCTCGAACTCCTGACCTCAGGTGATCTGCCCACCTCAGCCTCCCAAAGTGCTGGGATTACAGGTGTGAGCCACCACACCCGGCCTTAAGATTCTTATTTAAGATAAACAAACAGTCCACTCTCTTTATTAGAATTTTTGCTGGCACCAAATTAGTAAGTGTCTGCCTACCCAGGCCTCAAACTTTGCAGTACATTTAAAATAACAAAACATCTTTGGACAAAAGAAGTATCAAATTGGACTGTTTTCTGAAACAGAAATATTGCAGACTGGCATTTCTCAAGCTCTTTTCTAAGTCTTCACAATTGCTGGATTGCCCACACACACTGGATGGCAGAGAGCCTGGCAGAGCCTTCGAGAAGGTGAAGAGGAGGCAGAAGGTAGGTGTCCACGCATGCTTCCACGCCCCAGACAAGGAGGCTGCTACTGCTACAGCACGTGCTGGAGATTCAAGCAGGGGCTCAGGCTCATGGGGATCTCAGTGGGGGGTCTCTGGGGACTAGGGTAGCCTGTGGAGCAGTTACACATGAGCACATGGATCCCTGGTGTTTAACAGGGTTGCAATACAGTACTGGGAGAAGGAAAGAAAGGGTGTGGAAGACTGGAGGAGAGAGGACAGCTTTTCAGAAACAATCTGTCAAGCATCTGAAGACGCCCATTCCGGCAAGTCTGGACTCTTTGACCAACATCTCTCCATTCTCCTGCCGCACCCCTCATCCCCCAGCCCCTGACAACCACCACTGTACCACTGTACTCTCTGTTTCTATGAGTTCTAACTTGTTTGGATTCCACATATAAGCGGGATCTATTTGTCTTTCTGTGACTGGCTTATTTCACTTAGCGTAGTGTCCTCCAGCCACGTTGAGTAAGTCCTGGGGAGCTCTCCTACAGCGTGGTGACTACAGTCAGTAACAATGTATTGTTTACTCGAAATTTGCTAAGAGAGATCTTAAGTGTTCTCACCACAAAACAAGGGTGGGCAACTGTGTGAGGTGATGGATATGTTGTTAACTAGCTTGATTGTGGGAATCATTCCTTATGTACATGTATTATCAAAACATCACGGTGCACACTTTGAATATATTCCGTCTTTGTCAATTATACTTCAATGAAGCCGGGGCGGGGAAAGAAGACTCACATTCCCCACTTGCAAGCAAACTGCTCTCCATGGAGTTCCTAAACCTACCCTCGGCCTCGGGGCCTTTCCTCCCACAGCCCCCTGAAGCTCCTGAACCCCGGTGCTCAACGTGCATACCCGCCTGGTCCTCCTCTCCCTCATGAATCCCCCAGTCACATCTACTCTCCGCTGCTTCTCAGGGAGGAGGCTGAAATGGGAGGATCGCTTGGGCCCAGGAGTTCAAGACCACCCTCACCAATATAGTGTGAGGCCTCAGCTCTTAAAAAAAGAACCATAAGATAATGATCTTATGACGGCCAGGCACAATGGCTCACGCCTGACCTCAAGTGCCCCACCCACCTCGGCCTCCCAAAGTGCTGGGATTACAGGCGTTAGCCACTGTGCCCGGCCATTCCTAAAGATTTCTAAGTAAGCACCTCTTCCCTTTTATAACCTCCTCCGAGCTTCATAGGTGAGGCTTCCAACCTTCTAGAAGAATTATTTGGTTCTGCTATGAGTTTTCTCTCTGTCATAAATCCTTTTTGCAAGTAGGTAGGAGGCAGGGATTTACACCTGTATATATATAAATATATATAATGTATATATATAAATATATATATGTATATATAAATATATATAATGTATATATTTAATATACATTAAAATATTTTTCTCTGGTAACGGCACAATAGATGGCTCAGTACAGTGACCCTTCTTTAAAGGAGTCCTGGTTCCACTTTATCTGACAACCCACCACGGGATTTTAGGCAAGACACGTCACCTTTGGTATTTCTCTGACATCCGTAAAAAGAAACGTTACCAAACAACCTCTCTTAGAAACAAGAAATAGATTAATACATGACTCCAAAGTTCCATTACAAAATATGCTACTGATTTCACACAACACAGAACAATGCCTTTCTGTTAAACAGTCCTGAGGGATCTTGCTTTTAATAACTGAGGCTTCTTCACAAATGCCAAAGTGAGAAGAAGAAACTACAGAATTTTTTAAAAAATGTTTGACCCGTTCAATATAAAAATCTGTTTTGATATTTTGCCCACTTAGTGGGGTTTACCAAGCGGTAGGTAACCCAGTCCAGCACGCCTGGATTACTCTTACCCAACACACGAAGTGGCTGTATTGCAGCGCTCCTGGCCACCATACATAAATGTTCATATGCTTTGCCCCAACAATTCCACTTGTAAGAATTTATTCTGAGGCAGGCCTTCTCAAGGTGTTCCAGCAGAACTGGAAATTGGTAAGAAATATTACCGAAAATAAATGTCACGTGATCAAATTTAGAAACTGCTAGGAAAACTTTTTCCCCCTGCAGGAATTGTCAGAGCCTTTCAAAGGCAAATATATTGTCAATCTTCAAGAGAAACATACGGTATACAGCGGTTTTCCAAATCTATTTGACCAATTACAGTCTTCCTAATGAGTGTTCCCGGGAATAGAGTTTGGGAAGCACTGCGCTATGGAACCAAGTATGAACAGAAGGTTCACTGCAGCCTTAATAAGAGTAACGATAACAACAACAAAGGAGAAGCAACAGCAACTTTAAGATGCTCCCCAGCCCTTACCCCATGAACATGAACACAGATCAAGCAATGCACTGAGTACAAGAGGGCCCTGGAGTTCACCATTCTAGCCCTGAAAGGGAAGGATGACTTACGCCAGCCAAGATGCGGATAACTCACAAACCCTTACTCATTTCATCACTAGGGCCACCTCCCTGCCTGGAGGGAAAAAGTCATCACATATCAAGGCACAATCTGATGTTAAATCAGTCATTTTCATCCTCCCAAGCTCAAAGCCATGGTGCAAACATCAAAATAAAAGCCTTGACCATGGTTTTGAAAAGCTCTATCCACTTCTTATAATTTGTGGCAATATATCTTGAATTCAGGCTGGGTGCAGTGGCTCACGCCTGTAATCCCAGCACTTTCAGAGGCTGAGGCAGGCGGATTGCCTGAGGTCAGGAGTTCAAGACCAACCTGGCCAACATGGTGAAACCCTGTCTCCTCTAAAACTATAAAAATTAGCTGGGTGTGGTGGCAGGCACCTGGAATCCCAGCTACTTGGGAGGCTGAGGCAGCAGAATTGCTTGAACCCGGGAGGCAAAGGTTGCAGTGAACTGAGATCACACCATTGCACTCCAGCCTGGGCAACAAGAGCAAAACTCCATCCATCTCTCTCTCTCTCTCTCTCTCTCTCTCTCTCTCTTGAATTCATCTGGGCACTATTCAAGCTGTGCTGAGAAACTCTTCCTTAATCCTTCAAGTTAATTCCTAAACTTAAGTTCTTTAAAGTTGTGTTTGAATTCCTGGCATGTGAAACTGAAATTATATATATATGTACTTACATTATCTATATAACTTATTATATAGATAATATCAACAAACGCACATATAATTTCAGTACAACTTTTGCCCTCATTAATTAAAGGGCATAAACCAAGTTTTCAAAAACAAAAATCTAAACTCTCCCACCCACTCCCCTCTGTGTTCTGAGAGACTTTGCTAAAGACTGGTGGGTGTCCGGAACTTGAGCTAAAGCTCCTGGCTCACCCTGGCTCTCTGGCCGGCTGGGCTCTCATATCCGGCTGCCCATTTCTGCCAGTCTGCACTGGCTCCCACTGACCTTGGCAGGAACTCAGCTGGGAGGGGCGACGGCTCCTGTGGGGAGGCAGACGTGAATTCTGCTGTCATACTCTCTGGTGCTTTGACAGCACGGGCACCTCCTGCTCAGTGTCCCCAGATGTACAAGAATGAAAAAGAGGGAGGTGTGACCCCTATGAGAGGCTAAGGAACAAATGAGGCCAGATGAAAATTTACATCATCCTGGCTTTCCAATTGGTGGTGTTCAAGTCAGGTCAACTGATACTCAGCACTGAGTCTGCATCAGACCCTGGGTTGGACCCAAGAATTGTAAAAAGGAGGAGAAGCTGGGCCTGTCCCAGAGAAATACACAGGCAGACAGACATGTCAGTAATAAGCACCAGTGGTGTGAGGAGGTGTAGGAAGTGTGAGAGGTGTGGGGAGGCATGGGGAGGTGTGGAGAGGCATGGGGGCTGTGAGGAGGTGCTGAAAAGTGTGAGGAGGCATGGGAGGTGTGAGGAGGTATGAGAGGTGTTGAAAGCATGGGGAGGTGTGGGAGGTGGGAGGAGATGGGAGGAGATGTGAAAAGTGTGTCGAGGTATGGGAGGTGTGGGAAGTGTGAGGCAGTATGGGAGGTGTGAGGAAGTGTGAAAAGTGTGGAGGCATGGGAGGTATGAGGAGGTATATTAGTCTGTTTTCATGCTGCTGATGAAGACATATCTGAGACTGGGAAGAAAAAGAAGTTTAATTGGACTTACAGTTCCACATGGCTGGGGAAGCCTCAGAATCACAGTGGGTGGCGAAAGGCACTTCTTACATGGCAGCAGCAAGAGAAAAAAATGAGGAAGAAGCAAAAGCGGAAACCCCTGATAAACCCATCAGATCTCCTGAGACTTATTCACTATCACAAGAATAGTACAAGAAAGACCGGCCCCCGTGATTCAATTACTTCCTCCCAGGTCCCTCCCACAACACATGGGAATTCCGGGAGATACAATTCAAGTTGAGATTTGGAGGGGGACACAGCCAAACCATATCATTCCATCCCTGGCCCCTCCTAATCTCACGTCCTCACATTTCAAAACCAATCATGCCTTCCCAACAGTCCCCAAAAGTCTTAACTCATTTCAGCATTAACCCAAAAGTCCACAGTCCAAAGTTTCATCTGTGATAAGGCAAGTCCCTTCTGCCTATGAGCCTGTAAAATCGAAAGCAAGCTAGTTACTTCCTAGATACAATGGAGATACAGGCATTGGGTAAATACAGCCGTTCCAAGTGGGAGAAAGTGGCCAAAACAAAGTGGTTACAGGGCCCATGCAAGTCTGAAATCCAGCAGGTCAGTCAAAGTTTAAAGCTCCAATATGATCTCCTTTGACTCCAAGTCTCACATCCAGGTCACAGTGATGCAAGAGGTGGGTTCCCATGGTCTTGGGCAGCTCCACCCCTGTGGCTTTGCAGGGTACAGCCTCTCTCCCGGCTGCTTTCACGGGCTGGTGTTGAGTGTCTGTGGCTTTTCCAGGAGCGCAGTGCAAGCTGTCGGTGGATATACCATTCTGAGGTCTGGAGGACAGTGGCCCTCTTCTCACAGCTCCGCTAGACAGTGCCCCAGTAGGGACTCTGTGTGGGGGCTCCGACCCCACATTTCCCTTCTGCACTGCCCTAGCAGAGCTTCTCCATGAGGGCCCCACCCCCACAGCAAACTTTTGCCTGGGCATCCAGGCATTTCCATACATCTTCTGGAATCTAGGCGGAGGTTCCCAAACCTCAGACCTTGACTTCTGTGCACCTGCAGGCTCAATAACACATGGAAGCTGCCAAGGCTTGGGGCTTCCACCCTCTGAAGCCACAGCCCGAGCTCTACGTTGGCCCCTTTCAGCCATGGCTGGAGCAGCTGGGACACAGGGCACGAAGTCCCTAGGCTGCACACAGCATGGGGACCCTGGGCCCAGCCCACAAAAGGGACTTAAGGCTTATGATGGGAAGGGCTGCCATGAAGGTCTCTGACATGGCCTGGGGACATTTTCCCCATGGACTTGGGGATTAACGTTAGGCTCTTTGCTACTTATACACATTTCTGTAGCGTGCTTGAATTTCTTCCCAGAAAATGGGTTTTTCCTTTCTATTGTATAGTCAGGCTGCAAATTTTCTGAATTTTTATGTTCTGTTTCCCTTTTAAAACTGAATGCCTTTAAGAGTACTGAAGTCACCTCTAAATGCTTTGCTGCTCAGAAATTTCTTCTGCCAGATACCCTAAATCATCTCTCTGAAGTTCAGTGTTCCACAAATCTCTAGGGCAAGGGTAAAATGCCACCAATCTCTTTGCTAAAACATAACCAGAGTCACCTTTGCTCCAGTTCCCAAAAAGTTCCTCATCTCTATCTGAGACCACCTCAGCCTGGATTTTATTGACCATATCACTATCAGCATTTTGGGCAAAGCCATTCAATAAGTCTCTAGAAAGTTCCAAACTTTCCCACATTTTCCTGTCTTCTTCTGAGCCCTCCAACTGTTGTAATCTCTGTCTGTTACCCAGTTCCAAAGTTGCTTCACATTTTTGGGTATCTTTTCAGCAACACCCCACTCCTGGTACTAATTTACTGTATTAGTCCATTTTCACACTGCTGATAAAGACATACCCGAGACTAGGAAGAAAAAGAGGTTTAATTGGACTTAACAATTCCACATGGCTGGGGAGGCCTCAGAGTCATGGCAGGAGGCAAAAGGCATTTCTTACATGGCGGCGGCAAGAGAAAAAAAATGAGGAGGAAGCAAAAGCAGAAACCCCTGATAAACCCATCAGATCTTGTGAGACTTATTCACCATCACAAGAATAGCATGGGAAAGACCAGCCCCCATGATTCAATTACCTCCCTGTGGGTCCCTCCCACAACACTTGGAAATTCTGGGAGATACAATTCAAGTTGAGATTTGCATGGGGATGCAGCCAAACCATAACAGGAGGTGTGAAAAGCGTGTGGAGATGTGGGAGGCGTGAGAAGGTGTGAGTGGGAGGCGTGAGGAGGTGTGAAGTGTGTGTGGAGGTGTGAGGAGATGTGATGTGTGGAGGTGTGAAAAGTGCATGGAGGCGTGGGAAGCATGAGGAGGTGTGAACCTGCATGTGGACTTAGGAGCAGTGAGGGAGGGGGTGAGGAGAGAAGGTGCTGCAGGAGCCCGGAGCTGGGGAGGGCAGCAGAAGGTCGGGCTGGGGTGTGGACCAGCCAGGAAGAGGCCGCTGTCCAGGGTAAGGGTGCGGAGAGCTTCGGGGGAGCATTGGCACAGCTGAAATGCAGACCTGTGCTGTGAGAGAGGTCCCTGGGATACAGAGCAGAGCAAAGGCTGCAGACCATGGGTTGACAGAGAAGGTGAAAATGAAGGCAAATCAGAGGCCCAACACAGATTCATGATGCCTGGGCCTGGAGGGCGTGGCGGGGAATTGGAGGGTGACCACTAAGAGGCACGGGGTTCCTTCTGGGATGGAAAAGGTCTACAGTGGACTGTGGGGTCACTGCGCAACTCTGAATGTGGTACACTTCGAGATGGGGACAGCACAGAAAATGTGAATTATACCTCAATAAAGCTGTTATTTAAAAAAAAACAAAAAGACAAAAAAAAAACTAAGAGTAGGGAGGAGGTCAAAGAGCAGTCCCCTCAGTGGTCAAGGCCTCAAAGACTGCAGGGGAGAGAGGCCCCGGGCAGGAGACAGTCAGGGTGTCCAGTGCGGCTGACAGGCTGGACCACTTCACCTTAAGCTGCCACAGGGCCTGGCCAAGGGCAGGCTCGACTGACGGGGAGGCTGGAGGGGGAACAGGCAGACCCTGGATGGCAGCAGGAGGAAGTGGGAGCAGTGAGTCAATTCAAGAGCATAAACTGCTTTCCAAAAGCGCATGTTTGTGAAATGCAAGAAAGAGGTTATTCAGGGGGTCCAGACCTTGTTTTTAAGATGGGGAGACCTGAGCATGCTTGTGGACAGACAGAAGGAGCCTGGGTCCCGAGAAGGGCAGACAGGGAGAGGCAGGAGGCAGGGAAGGGTGGAGGGCTGAGAAACTGAGGCAGCAAGGAGGGGTCTGAGGGAACATGGCAGGGACAGCCATGGGAGTGCCATCTGCCTAATGACAGGGACCCCGGGGAAGTGAGGTTGGGTTGGAGAGTCCCAGCTGCTTCTTGGGGAACCCGATCAGGAACTGAATGGTGGTAAATGAGCCCCACTTCCTTTCCCTCCCCTTCCTTGGGCTCCACACAGCCTATGAAAACACCGGGGTTTTTCAGGGCTTCCCCCGTTGTGGCAAGAAGGATGGGAGGACAGGGGAGGGGAGCAGAATCAGGCCTGAAGGAGAAAGAAGAAATTGCAGCAACTTTGATCAGAAACCCTGAAGTTTGTCATCTGGTGAAAATAAAGCATTTCTCCCTAATGGCAAATTCCTTTCGGTTTTAGCATCGTTTCTTCTGCTTTTGAAAGTCCCACCTAGAACCTCAGAACCTAGAATAGATCTGGGGATGACGCTGTGGGTGATGCTGGCTTTTTGACTTGTTGAAGGCTGAGCCACGGCTGGGAGATGTCCCCAGCTGGCCGCTGTCAGGCGCTGGGGAATGTTCGAGAGCCCTCATGGGCTTTCCGCACCACCCGCTCCCACAGTGGGCCAAGGCCTCCTCATCCCGGACCTGTGGGCGACTTGTGCCCCCTTGGTAACCCAGGCCTTCACCCCATCCTTTCGGATGACACAGGAAGGCCTAGAGCTCTGCATGTGACGTACTTGTTTCGACAGAAGCATAAAGGCCTTTGAGCAGCTGCTGGACTCTGCCCCCTGCCCTCATAAATCAGTCTGTTCACGCGTCACTGATTTGTTCCCACCCTTTGAACTCCCGCTTGCCTATTTTTTTTCTTTTCTTTTTTTTTTTCCTGCAACCTCTGCCTCCCAGGTTCAAGTGATTCTCCTGCCTCAGCCTCCCGAGTAGCTGGGATTACAAGCACCCGCCACCATGCCTGGCTCATTTTTGTATTTCTACAAATACAAAAAGAGACGGGGTTTCACAATGTTGATCAGGCTGGTCTTGAACTCCTGATCTCGTGATCCGCCTGCCTCGGCCTCCCAAAGTGCTGGGATTACAGGCATGAGCCACCCCGCCAAGCCTATTTTTTCAACTACTAACTCAAGTTGACATTTGCTGTCTTACAATCTTTCTGTTTGTTTGTTTGTTTTTAAGAGGCGGGGTCTTGCTGTCACCCAGGCTGGAGTGCAGTGGTGCCATCATAGCTCATTGCAGCCTCCATCTTCCTGGGCTCCAGGAATCCTCCTGCCTTAACTTCCTGAGTAGCTGAGACTATGTACAGGTGCAGCCCAAATGCCTGGCTAATTTGTCTTATTTTTTAGAGATGATGTCTCCCTACATTGCCCAGGCTGGTCTTGAACTCCTAGACTCAAGTGATCCTCCCATCTCGGCCTCCTGAGTAGCTGGGTTACAATCATTTTTACTAATGTCTTAGTGGTGTTTCTGGCAGAAATGTCCCCTGCTATTCTTTGTGGGTATGACAGTGTCTCCTGTGCAGTCAGCAGAACTCAACAGAAGTCACCTCTGATGTCCCTGGAGGCAGTGTCTCTGATGTACCAACAAAGCACTATGCTTCCAACCTGCGCTTGATTCAGAATCTCTGCAGCCATTTTACTTTATAAATCCTCTCCCCTAAGCCAGGACCCACATCTGGACACCCTAGTGTCTCCACTTCTGTGCCACCACTCTCTGGACACTTCATAATCCCCCTATCCTTAAAAGGGGGTGCATCCTGATCCTAGCTGCCTGTGGGCTGAGACTCCTGAGGAGACCCTCGCAGTAACTGAGGGGGACTGAAACTCTTAGTGCACCAAGCACAGACTCCTGACTAAAGAAACCAGTCTCTATCACACACGCTGGTTCAAAACGTATGTATGCAAATTCATCTGAAAATGTTACAAATGCATGGCAGGTTGAAACTTTATATTATAAAATAATTTATGTATATACAAAGAAATAACAGCAAATACTCATGCACCCAGCACTCCATCCTTAATACTTTGCCACGTTTGCTCCAGCTATGTTTTGTTTGTTTGTTTCTGAGACAGAGTTTCACTTTTGTTGCCTAGGCTGGAGCGCAGTGGTGCCATCTCGGCTCACTGCAACCTTGTCTCCCGGGTTCAAGCGATTCTCGTGCCTCAGCCTCCCGAGTAGCTGGGATTATAGGCACGTGCAACCACACCCGGCAAATCTTTGTATTTTTAGTAGAGACAGGGGTTTCACCATTTTGGCCAGGTTGGTCTTGAACTCCTGACCTCAGGTGATCCACCCACCTCAGCCTCTCAAAGTGTTGGGATTACAGGCATAAGCCACCATGCCCAGCCCCAGCTGTGGTTTAATAAATAAAAATGACACAGCTGGAGCTCCCAGCCTGCCCCCTCCTGGTGCCATTTGCTCCCAGGAAAGTAATCACTATCCTGAATTTGGTGTTTTTATGGCTAGGCAGGCTTTCACTAGGTAAATCTGGATTCGTGAAAGATACAGAGTACCGTCCAGTATGGTTTTGCACTTTATATGAATGCATTAATACCTTCCATAACCTTCTGCAGTTTGTTTATTCCCTCATGACTATGTGTTTGGAAGGTATCTATGTTGATACACACAGTTCTAGCTCATGCATCTTCACTAAGGCACAGTGCAGTTGGCCCCTGGGCAGCATGGGTTTGAACTGCATGGGCGCATCTATACATGGATTTTTTTCAACTGAATGGGAATCAAAACTACGATGTTCTCAGGACGTAAAACCTGAATATAAGGAGGACCAACTCTTTGTACATGCAGGTTCTACAGGGATGTGAGTATGTGGGGCTCTGAGCATACTTGGGGGTCCTGGAACCAGTCCCCCACATATACTGACAGACGACGCTACTCCTATATAACAGGCCACAACCGGTAGCCCTCTCTGACAGAGGGACACAGAAGGATGGCTAAGTGTGTGGAATCGGGCCGGGCACAGTGGCTCACGCCTGTAATCCCAGCACTTTGGGAGGTGGGGGAGGCGGATCATGAGGTCAGGAGATCAAGACCATCCTGGCTAACACGGTGAAACCCTGTCTCTACTAAAAATACAAAAAATTAGCCGGGCGTGGTGGCGGGCGCCTGTAGTCCCAGCCACTGGGGAGACTGAGGCAGGAGAATGGCGTGAACCAGGAGGCGGAGCTTGCAGTGAGCAGAGATCGCGCCACTGCACTCCAGCCTGGGCGACTGAGCGGGACTCCGTCTCAAAAAAAAAAAAAAAAGTGTGGAATCTGGAGCTGGCTTACCTGGGGTTGAATCCTGGCTCTACCAATTATCAGCTGTGTGGCCTTGGAAAAGTCACCTGCCTGCTCTGTGCCTCAAGTACCTCACCTGTAAAATGAGACTAATAACACCAGCCACCAGGTTTTCCTAAGCATTTGGTGAATTAATAGACATGTAGAGCACCTGGACAAATGCCTGCCGCCTAGTAAGTACCACGTGGGTGGCTGCAACCCCTGCTGTTGGTATTATTAGTCCTCATCTATGTTCGCAAACCATGATTCTAAACGCACAGCTACTAAACTGTGACCACAGATGCTATCCTAACCATAAAAGGAACTTTCATACTGAAAAAGGTTAAGAACCACTGACGCATTCGATATTTGCTCTCCTGGTCCCTCTGCGCTACCCACTTCCTGATATATTGGGGAAATTATGCAAACCCCAGGGCCCTGGTCTCCCCAGGCAACAGTCATTAGTCAGCTGCTTCAGTCTGTTCCCACATGCTGAGCATCCTCACTCAGCAGAGCAGGGTGACAAGACAGTCGGTCCCCGAAATCCAGACACCGGAGTTCTCCTTTCTGCAGGGTTCCCGGAAGACACACAAGGCGGCTCTGCGGCGGGGAGGGGATCTGCATTTGAGGCTCAGTCTCCAAGACAGTGCGAGCAAGGGCGGGGCCTCTATGCCTGCGTTAGGATGTTCTTTTCTTCCAAACGTCAGCTGTGGGCTATAGGTCCAGGGACTCAGGACCTGGATAACCACCACCACAGCCCCACTCATAGTCCTGTGTCCGTGGCAGTGAAGGTAACTGGCCAGAAAAGGCAAGCAAGCACGCTGTCCATGCCATAAAGTTCTGGGAGGCGGTGGCCTGAAGCCAAGGTGTGCCTGGTCTGTGTCCCAGGCTGGCCAGGTGTGAGAGGGGTCACTGGAATACATGGTCAGGTGTTCACCGCATCACCTCCCACCTTTGACTTTGGCAAGCATGTGGCCCAAGAAGCTGGTCCTGCCTGCTCCTGGCCTCGTGCTGGCCCTTGGAATGTGGGCCCCCCAGACTTCAGTGAGCTTCTTCCCACGTGATCAGAAGCCAACCATAATTGCTTCTCTGGATTTCCATAGACCTCGGAGCTCCCTGGATGTGTTTGCAGCCTTCTCCAGCCCTCCTGAGAGCTCCGCTGCATGGTCCTGTTTGGCTCACCTGGCGCCTATGATCCTTCCTCAGGTGTATGCATGTGTGTTTGCGCGCGCGCGTGTGTGTGCATGTGTGTGCGTTTGTGTATGTGTGTGCATGTTTGTGCATGTGCACCCCACAAGGCAGGAGCTCAGCTCCCACCCAGGATGTCCCTACCTTGGTCCTCACAAGGCATTCCTCATTTCATAAGTGATAATGGGATAACAGTCTTTACCTTTATAGATAAAGGGCATCTCCACTCACTGTCCCCCTTCCCAACAGCTCCTCTTCTCCTTCCTGTTCCCAGCAGCTCAGCTCTCCGGGCAGCAAGCACCTCTCCCCTCCTCCACCCCTCCATCGGCTCACGAGAGCCTCCCTGAGCCTCATAAACTGAGCTTCACTCCATCCAACGGCGCCAACACAGGCTGGCCACCCAGAAGGCAGAACTCAGGGTGGCCCTGAGCCCCCACATTGATAAGTCAGCCCAGCAGGCAGCCCGCGAGGAGACGGGACTCTAGAGAGCACACCTCCCACCCACACCCTTTGCGGCTCTCCAAGTCAACCTAAAGCCACACCAAACGCCGTCCTTCAGTCTCCCTGCTTTTCTGAATTGTCTCTTGTCCCCTGAGCACCTGGATTCAGGGGTGAGGCTGGTCAACCCTCAGGAACCTACTTTGTTGGTTCCTGGTTAGCTCCATCGACCTTTCTAGGCCTCAGTGTCTATCTGCGAGGTGAAAGCATTAGGACAAATATTCATTAAGCTGCTTCTACTTTGACAGCTCCATGACTTGAAGTTCCTTCCCAGGGACAGCCCGTGTCAGCCCGTGTCCTCCGCCCTGGAAGCCCCGCAGGAATAGCTGCGGCCCGGCCGCTTCAGCCACAGAAGCGCACGGACCTGCCCGCCTGCCCACTGCCTGGGTGGAGTCCGTCTCGGCATCAGTTCCGCACAGAGGTGGAGGCAAATAATTCTGACCTGCCTCCCTGGCAGGATTCTCTCTCTTTGGCCTTGGGAATGACAAGGGCTGTGGCCACACAAGGCCCTACCATCACTGTTATGTTTCTTAACTGCTTAACCACAAATTGCAGTTCACAGTTTACCAGCCAGGGCCCTGCCCCTAATTGTTCTAAATGTACTTAAGGAAGGTGACACATTAGAAGCACAGAGGATGCATTTCTCCCGGTGGCCAGCGCTGGCCCACTGGGCCCTATGGCAGGAGGGTCCCGGGCCACGTGCGGCAGTGTGCAGTGTCGTACCATCGTGCCCTGATCCTTGCTGGCAAACGATGCAAAAACTACAAAATAAATTCGCAGGGAAAGTACCCCAGTTTGTTTTTGCCCCTCCTCACAGAATAACTTTCTGCTTCAGAAGTGAGGAGAATTCTGAGGTTTTAGGATGCCCTGGGAACTCCTGCCCTTGCTGGACGTGTCTGGTATTAAATGACACTCCCTGTGTCCTGCCACCGAGAGAATGACCATCTGGCCTCCTCGAGGGGAAGCTATGTGGGTAACGGGGGAAGCTCCTCACTAGGGGTGGGGACTTGGTCTGCTCCTGACACTGTCCCAGCTCACTGGGGCCTTCGGGAACAGCAACCAGGATGGCAGAGGACACACCCACGTTCCTCCAGGAATACTGAAAAAAACTGGGACTAGCTGACCCCAAGCAGAGAGAACTCGGGGAAGACACAATATATGCTGTCAAAGCCGTGACAGGCCGTGTGTCCTCGGGGGACGGATGACGCGTGCTGTTCACAGCCCCAGGGCGCAGGGTGGGAGTTACCCAGCACCACCCTTCCATCCTCATGTTGGTCTGGACCCCACGATTCGCTGAGAACAAACCCAGGCAGACCAGAAATTCCAGCTTAACCTGGAGCAGGGCCCAGGAGGACACGGAGTCTGGGGGCTTCCACACACAAAACCCAAGACTAGCCAGGGGCCCAACTTGGTTGCCCCAGAATCTGGTTCTGGTGAGAATACACCTGCTATGTCAACCTAAACCTAAGCCTTCACCTCCCAGTGGCACCCAAGGAAGGGGCCCTAGGAGCAGGACCAGGGCAATGGTGGGTGGAAACCCAACAGCCCAAGTCACAGGTGACGACTTCCACCAAGAAGTTCCCTCCACAGCCATCCTGGCATCGCTTCACAGTGAATACCTGTGTTTGGGAAATATTTTGATTTCATTACAGTGAGATTTTTAAATTGGATTTGACTTTCATTTAAATAGCAGCAAAAACCACTGGTTCTTTTTAAAGCATGTATCCTAGAGGGGGACTCACAGAGATGAAGGAATGAATTAAGTCTTCAACTTTCCACTGAAAACATCTCACACTTCATATCTCTACTGTAAGGACAGCCACTAAGTCACATCAGCCAGTCAATCGCACAATGGAGAAGTCGTTGACATGAAGTCTGTTTTCCTTGCTCAAGGCTAAGTTCCACGCAGCGAGAATCTAAGTTTGACCTTAAACAGTCTGCACAGTGTCTGGCACACAACAAGCACTCAAACGCGCATGATGAAACAACCTAAATGTCCATCAACGGATGAATGGATAAATAAAATGTAGTCTCTATCCATGCAGCACAATATTATTTAACCTTATAAAGGAATGAAGTTCTGATAAATGTTACAATGTGATGAACCTCAAAACACTATGCTAGGAGAAAGGAGAAGACGTACAAGAATACACATTGTATGATTCCTTTGATATGAAATATTAAGGATAGGTAAATCTGCAGAGATAGAAAGCAGATGGGTGGCTGCCAGGGGCTGAGGCAACAGGGACTGAGTAGTGATTGCTTAATGGGCATAAAGTTTCCTTTGGGGGTGATAAAAATGTTCTGGACCTAGATAGAGGTGACAGCTGCGCAATACTGTGAATGTACTGAACATCACTCAGCTGCATGCATTCAATGGTTAATTTCATATTGTGTCAATTTTGCTTCAATACGTCTTTTTTTTATTTGGTTTTTTGTCTGTTTTTGTTTGTTTCTTTTTTTTTTTTTCCCCGAGATGGAGTATTGCTCTGTCTCCCAGCCTGGAGTGCAGTGGTGTCATCTCGGCTCACTGCATCCTCCGCCTCCCAGGTTCAAGCAATTCTCCTGCCTCAGCCTCCTGAGTAGCTGGGATTACAGGCGCCCGCCACTGCACCCAGCTAATTTTTGTATTTTTAGTAGAGATGGGGTTTCACCATGTTGGCCAGGCTGGTCTCGAACTCCTGACCTCATGATCCACCCACCTCAGCCTCCCAAAGTGCTGGGATTATAGACGTGATCCACTGCACCTAGCCCAATACATTGTTTTTCTTTTTGAGATGGAGTTTCACTCTTGTCACCCAGGTTACAGTGCAACGGTGCGATCTTGGCTCACTGCAACCTCTGCCTCCCGGATTCAAGCAATTCTCCTGTCTCAGCCTCCTCAATGGCTGGGATTACAGGCGCCCACCACGCCTAGCTAATTTTTGTATTTTTGGTAGAGATGGGGTTTCACCGTGTTGGCCAGGGTGGTCTGAACTACTGACCTCAGATGATCCACCCGCCTCGGCCTCCCAAAGTGCTGGGATTACAGGCATAAGCCACTGTGTCCAGCCCCAATACATTTTTTTGAGACAGGTCTCGCTCTATCACCCAGGCTAGAATGCAGTGGTGCGATCTCAGCTCACTGCAGCCTTGACCTCCCAAGTTCAAGCAATCCTCCCACCTCAGCCTCTTGAGTAGCTGGGATTACAGGTGCATGCCACTATGCTTGGCTAATTTTTTAATTTTTTGTACAGATGAGATCTCACTATATTGCCCAGGATAGTCTTGAACTCCTGGGCTCAAGCGAACCTCCTGCCTCGTCCTCCCAAAGTGTTGGGATTACAGGTGTAATTCACCACACCCAGACAATACAATTTTTTTAATTTAAAAAAAAACACCTGTTGAATAAATGAAATGAATCGCCATGTTCCAGTTGAACTTTATGTTGCTTTGTGAAAGCTGGGAGGACGAGGCCCTCTCGCATGGATAGATGTGTGCTGTCTTCCCAGAAAATGAGTGTGGGCCTGATGGGGCCAGGCTCACGGCACGCCAAGGTTGCTCACACCCTGCCCACTTCCCTCCTTATCTGCCACCACTCATGCACTAAAAATGGACCGTCACACAGCCTGATGGGACAACATGACCTCTGACAGCTACAAAGAAGCTGTGGCAGCAGAGTCCAAGGTGACAGGGAGAGTAGCCTATGGGGTGGGAGCAGCCCACAGAGCCAACCCCACCGTGTATGGGGGTTTTTTCACCCTGTGTTTTGCAGACTGCGTAGCTCAGCCTCGCAAGTGTGTATGCCATTTAAAAATCGAGGAGGGAGGCCGGGCGCAGTGGCTCACGCCTGTAATCCCAGCACTTTGGAAGGCCGAGGCAGGCGGATCATGAGGTCAAGAGATCGAGATCATCCTGGCCAACATTGTGAAACCCCGTCTCTACTAAAAATACAAAAATTAGCTGGGCATGGTGGCGGGCACCTGTAGTCCCAGCTACTCGGGAGGCTGTGGCAGGAGAATCACTTGAACCTGGGAGGCAGATGTTGCAGTGAGCCGAGATTGCGCCACTGCACTCCAGCTTGGCGACAGAGCAAGACTCTGTCTCAAAAAAAAAAAAAAAAAAAAAAAATGAATATGCAACAGAGACCATATGTGGCTCACAGGCCTAAAATCCTGACCCACATAAGCTTGAGGTAATCAACCCACTTGCAGAGTAAAACCATTTGGGCTTCATCTGTCCTTATAGGTTAATGGACTCTAAGCTTCAGCTGCAGGAAACATAAAAAGTGAAATATTTATGAGCCTCTGCAGCCCTCGGGGAATGCCTGTTGTCCCAGGTACTGTCTAAACAGTCTGCTGGGGCTATTTCTGTACTGAGAGAACTGGCCGGCCAAAATGTCAGGACCCAGACAGACCTTCCAACCAGGAACCAGCTTTCTTCTTCTCACTGGAAACGCAAGGCCAACAGGAACAGCCTGACAAAAGCGGCTCTTGGGATCACATGACTTTGTTGTTTGCAAAACCCTAAGACGCTTGCAGTGAGATTTTGTAGAGGGTCTTGGATCTTGCAAATGTTCCTCTCTGGGCAGCCCACCCCTCACTGTCATGACCCCTGCCCTCCACTCCCCGCCACTCAACGCTGAGCAGCTAGCCTGGGGCTCAGAGGGTGGGCACAGCAGCAGCGGGACAGCCATGGCTGGGCCCTGGAACTCCACTGAGAACCTGCACTAGCCTCAGGACAGTGCTCCGGCCCTGCCTCCCTGCTGGTCACTACCAGTTCTGCCTGTCTGACTACGGAAAGGCAGGTGAGCAAGAAGCCGTAGCAAAGCCTGCAGGTGCCACAGTGTTCGGAGCCGACAGTAGGGCGCTCCTGATGGTGACCCGGCAGCAGCCTCAGCCCAGCCTCTGCTGTGGGGAAGTCCAGGCTTCCTGCATGGTCACTGGGGTTGGATGCTGAATGTGCTGTGAGGGGCCTAATTGTTCCCCGAGTGCTGAGGGCATTAACAGGATTTAGTTCCCCCTCGGTTGGCAGGGCATCACCGAGGCACTGATGCGGTCACAGCCTCAGCTGCAGAGAGAAGAGCACGCTGCCATGGCTCGAGGAGAGGGCTCGGGAAACTGGGCTGTATGTTTAGAAAGTGGCCTGCGGGAGGTGCTGGGGGTGAACGGCAGACCAAGAAAATAAGGAAACCTTTCCACACACACAGGCACACACATGCACAGACACACACACAGGCACATACACACAAACACAGGCAAAGACACACACAGGCACAGACACACACAAACACAGGCACACACACGGGCACAGACATACACAGGCACACACAGGCACAGACACACACACAGGCACACAGACACACACAAACACAAACGGGCACACACATGCACAGACACAAACAGAGGCACACACACAGGCACACGCAGGCACAGACATACACAGGCACAGACACACACATGCACAGACACTCAGAGACCCACACAGACACAGGCACACAGAGGCAGGCACACACACACACAGGTACACACACAGGCACACACACAGGCACACATACACAAACCCCACACACACACAGGTGCACACAGGCACACACGCATATGCACATACACACACAGGTGCACGCAGCCACACGTGCACAGGCACACATGTACATACACACAGGTGCACACAGGCACACATGCACATACACATACAAAGGCGCACACCTAGGTGCACACACAACTCTGGCTGGCCATGAGCCCACTGAGCTAGCTCCGCAGGGAGCCGGTGCCAGGGGCTGAGGCCATGGGCGCAGGGCCCAGAGGCCAGGCTGAGCACAGTCCTTGCCCTTGGCCCGCCTTGTCTGTTTCCTAAGCCTCTTACTTCTTTACAATCACCAAAAGGCCTAGAAGCTTCCCTCTTCACAACTCCTAGACTAGGGCCTGCCACACGACAGGTATTTGATAAACACGTCTTGACTAAACTGACCGCCAAGAGCCACAGCCGAAGCCCCTTACTCCTACAATCACCCACGTCCCTTTCCTGGTGAGCACGGAGGACTAGTTCCTGGATTCGACTTTTAGGGGCCTCTTAGTTCCCTACCAGCAAGAATGAGGACTATGACCCACTTCAAGTCAGAGTGTGGCGTCTGTAGCAAGCACGGATCGGTCAGCCTGAAACACGGGACTTGTCCTGCCTCTGCACGCCTGGCTGGGCTGCCTGGGAGAATTTCCTCCTCTGGTCGGCTCATCTGCAAAGGAGGGGCTGGGCTGCTGGACCCCCAGTGCCTTCTGCTCTCATGTCAGGCACTGCGATTAGGCTTGCCACATGCTCCCTACGGGTGCGCCAAGAGTCACCACCGTTTTACAAACAGAAAAGCTGCTGTTTGGTGGAAAAGTAATTTTGATGGCACAGTAGGCTGGAAAAGGGCAGGGTCAGCCCGGGGACCTGACCTTCAGGACAGTGGCTGGGTGTCGAAGCAAGAGCCTAGGTTCAGAGCTGTAGGCAACACACAGTGAGAATCTCAACTAAGGGAGGAGAGGAGCAAAGGGATTCAGGACACACGGCATCTCCTTTAACCCACTCCGACCCATGGGATGAGTATTACAGTTTCTGTCTCCCTGGTGAAGCAGCAGCCTTAGAGAGGTGGTAACCAGCCATGGGACCCACACTGGAGGCAAAGCCCGGATTGGAACCCAGATCTGCACCCAGGGACCCTGCTCCTTCACTCCCAGGGCTGCCTCCTCATTCATAAGGCTTTGCTGGCCTAGTGCCCATGATGAGCTCCCAACACCGACTATGAGCCCCTACCATGAGCCGCAGGCCCTCACCACGAGCCCCTGGCACCATCCCACAGGACCACATGACTCACGAACCATCCCTGCTGCAGCTGAGTGGAGGGTGTGGAAGTCCCTAGCTGAGTTTCAGAACAGAACAGACCAGACCCCGATAAATGTCAGCTTCCCATCTGCCCTCCAAGGCATGGTGACGTCTCAGGTCTCAGTTCCCACATCAGTGTCCATTCATCACAGCACCTCTCCCCATGGAGAGAACTCGCTTCTCCATTTCCTTCCGCAAACCATGTGACTGCAATGGCAGGAGTTTGTCATAGGGCCCAAGACAAAGCTGAACCAGCCTGTTCCATCCTGCCAAACTCGGGAATCTGGAGAGTCTGAGTTCCAGGCTGGGAATTCCGAGGAAGAAGGGCTGGGATACGTGGCTGCCGAGGTGTCACCGAGCCCACCGCCACATCAACTTCTGCCCCTGCAGGGCACAGACCTGTCTGCCCAGGAGCTGCCTGGGCACAGAAGCTACCGCCTTTGCTTCTGAGCCTCTATCCTGAAACCTGGAGGTAGAAGGCACCATAATTCCTCATGAGCAGAGACCCCTGCCTGCCTTAGGTTTCAGAGTCCTGCCCCTCTCCTAAGTCCCCACTAAAATGGTGATTTGACACAGCGCTTAGAACAGGCTCTGAGTCAAAGGCCTTGGTGCAAAGCCTTGGTCCCGCCACTTCCTCATGCAGCCGGGAGCAGAAGCTCAGCTGTTCCCCAAAGCTGGCACAAGGAGCCACAGCTGGAAACAACAGGTAGTCAGCACTCCATGTTCCAAACATTTGGGGCCAGACAGACACTGCATACAGACGGCCCGGAGAGAGTTAGCAGAACCAGTCCTACCACAGCCGCCTCCCCATGTTCCCAGGCTGAACTGGAAGGTGGAGAGTGGAGATGGAGAAAAAGAGTTAACAGCCTGCTACCAGCAGGGCACCTCACCCCAGGTCAGAAAGGAGAAAGACACATGGACACTGCTCACAGGGATTGGGCAGGAAGGGGGCCCGGGCAGATGCTTGCTGAGCTGGGACTGTTTGCAGGTGGAGTCCCGGTGGAGCCTGACCTGTGCCCTGGTGATCTGGAGGCACCAGGCACTTGGAGGGTGATGCTTGCTTCCACCTGGGATTTTTACAGGTGGGAGGGCCCCTAGGCACGCAAGGAGTGAAAAGCAGCCAGGTGCAGGGTCCTGAAGACGCTAGTTAGGCATCCAGCCTGTCACCCATGTGGCCAAGTGGGAGTGGAGGGGCCTCAGTGATCCCATGGCTTTCTAAGAAAAAGCCCTAAAAGGGCTTTTCGAAAAGGGGCCTAAAGCCATGTGGCTGCCCCCTGAAGAAGGAATTGGGATGGAAGGGAGACCAAAGATGGGGCTAGGAAGAAGCTGAAGTCCATCATGTCAACATGGCCACGTGGCAGTTACCCACAGAGGCGGCGCCAGAGCAAGACCAGAGGCCGACACGCTGGCAGTCACGAGAGAGTGTGCCCCTCCCCTGGGCTGCCTGGGAAGATGGAAGGGGAGAGGCTGAGAGCATGGGCACACCCTCTGCACCAAGCCCTGCAGCTCGAAGCCTGGCTGGCCTTGGACAGTGTGGGAGAAGCTTTAAATCAGACGTAAAGATTTAATAAAGGAGTATGGGCCAGGCACAGTGGCTCACGCCTGCAATCCCAGCACTTTGGGAAGCCGAGGTAGGCAGATCACCTGAGGTCAGGAGTTCAAAACCAGCCTGGCCAAGATGGTGAAACCCTGTCTCTACTGAAAATACAGAAATTAGCCAGGCGTGGTGGCGCACACCTGTAATCTCAGCTACTAAGGAGGCCGAGGCAGGAGAACTGCTTGAATCTGGGAGGCGGAGGTTGCAGTGAGCCAAGATCACACTACTGCGGCCTGGGTGACAGAGCCAGACTCCAAAATAATAATAATTACCGAGTATGACTAGAAAGCCATAGGATCTGCCTGAGAGGTCATTAGGGGTGGAAAGAGACTTAACATGGCAGAATTTAAAAGCAGTGATTTAGGGGTAAGTTAATCAAATTGAGCTTGCTCATGATCGCATTACCCTCAGATGTGTACCCAAGGGCAGCCGGGGCTGCGTACTGCAGCATCGTGTGCATTGCACGGAGGCTCGGACGGGGCAGTGTGGGCAAGTGTTCTCACCCCTCCGAGCCTCAGTTGGGGGGTAACAGTACCCTCTGGGTCACCAGGGAGGGTGAGATGAGTAAGGCCCAGGTACAGGGACCCTGCAAAAGCACAAAGGACTGACAACAACAGAAAAAAGCTTCCTCCCCATCTCGGACCTCTCCTTCCAGTTCATTCCCAATTCCCAAACTGCCCCCACGACTTCCTTCCCACCATCCTCTCTTCCTCCCCACCCAGCTTCAGCCTCCAGACACCTGCTTCTTCTCAGAGGACTCATGTCTCATTCAAGTCTCCTGACGCTTCAATAACCATTCCCTTCAGTGCCGCAAATCGTGCCTTAACTGTGCTGTATGTATACTTTGATTCTCTGCAACCTGATTTTGCGCTCCAGGAGAACACGAGGTTAGATTTAGAGTTGGGTATGTTTTCCCATTGTTAAGAGGTTTCATGGCCAGGCGCGGTGGCTCACACCTGTAATCACGGCACTTTGGGAGGCCGAGGTGGGCAGATTACTTGAGGTCAGGAGTTTGAGACCAACCTGGCCAACATGGCAAAACTCCATCTCTACTAAAAATACAAAAATTAGCCAGGTGCAGTGGCAGGTGCCTGTAATCCCAGATACTCGGGAGGCTGAGGCAGGAGAATCGCTTGAATCCAGGAGGCAGAGGTTGCAGTGAACCCAGATCACCACAAAGCAAGGCTCTATCTCAAAAAATAAAATAAAAAGAGGTTTCACATACTGTACATAAAAGACAAACCTCACACTCAGACAGCACAGATGTGTGTTGAATCCCAGCTCCACCATGCACTGACAGTGTGACCTTGAGCAAGTCATCTACGACCTCTCAGCCTCAGTTTCCTCCTCTGGAAAATGGGGACAATACCGGTACTTTCTTCAGAGAGTTCTGGTAAAAATAAATATAACCAATTGCTTAGAAGTGTGCTTTCTTGGCCGGGTGCGGTGGCTCACACCTGTAATCCCAGCACTTTGGGAGGCCGAGGTGGACAGATCACAAGGTCAAGAGATCAAGACCATCCTGGTCAACATGGTGAAACACTGTCTCTACTAAAAATACAAAACTTAGCTGGGCATAGTGGCACACACCTGTAGTCCCAGCTACTTAGGAGGCTGAGGTAGGAGAATCATTTGAACCCGGGAGGCGGAGGCTGCAGTGAGCCGAGATCGAAAGTATGCTTTCTTAAACATACTTCTTAATTGTTAGCTGTCAGCCCCTTCTCCAAAAATCTCATTTACTTGGTCTGAGATGGGGGCCCAAGCAACAGTCATTCTTAAAGCTCCCCACTTTAGGTAATTCCAATGGTTTGTGTAAGAGAAAGAGGGGGTGAGCGGGAGAGGAGGAGAAGGGAGGCAGAGCTGGGTTGGCGACAAAAGGCTTTATAACTCCCCAGAAGTATCACAGTTTTGTCACTAAGCCAGAAATGGCTTTGTTCTGCCAGGCTCTGAGATGCCAGCACTCAGAGATGGAGACATGCCACCTTCTCCAGCCAGCCACCCTGTGCCCTCAGGCGAAAAGCCTTTGCTGTGGTGCCCGCAGACCTGGGAGATATAAAGAGTACAGGGCCGTGACTTTGGGCCCCTGGGCCGGAGTGGCTCTGTCTGCCTGGTCACTGTTTCCCTTGCTCAGCATTTACTCACCAACCAGCAGATGGTGCAGAAAATGTGCAGCCCGGCCCCTAATCCGGCTCTAAGTTCAGAATTTGCATGTGATTACCAGAGAGCTGTGGCAGTTCCCTGCATTTTCCTCTTCCCCCACTGCCCCCCAAAAAGGGGACAAATATAAAGAGCTCAACGTGCAATACCACCATTGTCACAGTTCTTAGGGTAACATCACCTCACCTGTCTTTTGCATCTTGCTAGAACCACCTCATTTCAATTACAAAACCCAAGTGTCTGTGCAATGCAGCCGACTGCCTGAACTGGTTTGCAGGTTTAAAGGTTGTACTTGGACAGGCAATACGCATTACTCTCCGACCGGAAAATATGCTGATGCGCTGGACTTACAAGAAGTCTGAGTGTAGACCCATTTTTAAAAGATTATACTATCTACAAAATATCACATATGCTATTTTTTAGCCAAAAGTACTTCTTCCATATTTTCAGTCAGTGGCTTCCACTGTACCAGAGCAATCCTTTTCCTACTTTGTTTTTTTTGTTTGTTTGTTCGTTTGTTTTTTTGAGACAGGATCTAGCTCTGTCACCCAGGCTGGAGTGCAGTGGTTCAATCTCTGCTCACTGCAACCTCCGCCTCCCGGGCTCCGCCTCCCACCTCAGCCTCCTGAGTAGCTGGAACTACAGGCGGGCACTACCACACCCAGCTAATTTTTGTACATTTTGTAGAGAGGAAGTTTCGCCATGTTGCCCAGGCCGGTCTCAAACTCAGGGACACAAGCGATCCTCCCGCCTCCGCCTCCACAATGCTGGGATGACAGGCATGCGCCACCGCATACGGCCTCTTTCTTTTTTTAAATAAGTGACTTTTTCTCAAAAAAAAAAAAAAAGACACTTAAAAGGAATGAGATGCCTGCTTGCACAGGGTTTCTGCCCATCCGACAGTTCTGAAATTACCCTCACCAGGTGACACCGTTGACGCCTTCCCCTTCGGCAGAGTCCTAGTGAAAATGGACATCTTAGTGCTTGGAAAGCTAATGGGAATCAGAGATGATGATGACGATGATGACGGCGGCACCGCGTTATTAAACCTTTGTGCAACGCTATACAAAGTATTTGCAAAGTGCTCAACAATTACTGCACTTTCATTAAGTCAACCATCAGCAGTAAAGCAGCAGCCAAGTTAATTCACATACTCTCCCATTAGCTTATTTAATAATATGCCCCATAAAGTGATTTTTGTGTGGCTGTAAAAGAGCCCCAGTCAGCTTTTATGGCCTTTTCTTGGGGCCTCTCAGATGAGCTCAGACAGTAACTCTGATGAGCGGCAGCAGCTCGGAGCTGGGTGTTACCCCAGCCTGCTGTTTAGCAATCCGGTGGAATGAGTTAGTAAGCCGCAGTTCTGTAGAGCTCCTAAGCCGGAGGTTCAAAACATCTCATCAAAACCAACATGGTCTCACCCTGCCAACGCTCAAAACAGCAGTGTCAGGCCCAAATCTGGAGGCCAACGTGCAGAAGACCTTTCCAGGCCGGGAGTTAGGTGCCTGGGGAGGCAGGGCAAATTCTAGAGTTCAGGCCTCCCTTGGGGGCACACCTTCCATCCGTACTAACTGGCGTGTGCAGGCGCTGCTGCTTCGCGCTGCGCACGGAGAAGCGCCCCGAATCCACCGCACGATGCGGAGCCAGGGGCAGCGAGTGAGCGGCGGCCTCCAGCCCTCCCCTGCCTTCTCCTTGCCCCTTTTGGGAATGGCAGGGGGTTTCCTATGACAAATGCCCGCAAACAGGACAGGGTTCGGACGACCCCAGAGCCGGCGCCTTCTCCCTACACTCTCAGCCCTAGGGCCGGACCCGCCCCCGCGGCTGCCATCGCCCCTGCCTCGGGCGCCCCGCGGGGACCACCCCGCCAGGTGAGCGCCTCCAGGAGCCTCTCTGAAACTCACCTGCGTGAAGTACAAGTTCATCAGCGTGAGGGTGAAAAACTGCAGGCACACAGGGAAGCAGTAGAGCAGCCAGAAGACGAAGGGGCTGAGCGAATTGGCCGCCACGAAGTCTTTGAAGTAGAAGGAGAAGAGGACGGTCCGCAGGGAGGCCCAGAAGAGGCAGAGAAAGAGGAAGACGCTCTGGTAGCTGAGCCGCTTGTGGCGGTAACGCAGCACCAGCCAGAGCTGCACGTAGATGAACACGAAGAGCAGCGCGTAGAACACGGTGTAGACGACGGTGAGGCCAAGCTTCACGTAGGGGGGCACGGCCGGGGTCAGCGTGGGCGGCAGCGAGTCGTTGCGGGCTGGGTCCCACGGCGGGGTCTCCATCGGGCCGGGGGCGCTGCCGCGCGGCCGGGGACGCTCGGGCCTCATCGGGGCTCACGGCCGCCGCCGCCCCCGCGGGGGTCTCCGCGCATCGCGCTCAGCCTGCAGCCCCGAGACTGGAGGAAAGAAAACAAGCCGCACTTCCTCCCCCGGCACCACATGATTCACTGGGACGGCCTTTGTCTGCGATTGGCAGCGCCGCGCCCGCCGCCCCCGCGCGCCGACCGGCCCCGCGCGCCCCCGCCCCGGCCCGCGCGCCCCCGCCCCGGCCCGCGCGCCCCGGCCCGCCCTCCCCCGGGCACCGCGCGCCTTCGCCCCGCGAACCCCGGCCCGCCCTATCCTCGCCACCGCGCGCTCCCGCAGTGCGCGCCCCCAGAGCCGCACGCCTCCTCCCGGCCCCCTCCCCATCCCCGGGGCCGCGCGCTCCCAGACTGCGGGCCCCCAGAGCCCCGCGTCTCTTCCCCCCTTCCCGCCCCCTCCCCATCCCAGGGGCCGCGCGCTACCCGTCCCCGGCCCCTTCCCCATCCCCGGGGCCGCGCGCTCCCGCACTGCGCGCCCCCAGAACCGCGCGCCTCCTCCCCGGTCCCGGCACCGCGCCGCGCGCCCCCAAAACTTCCCAGCCGCGCCCCGCGCCTCGGGGGATCGCACTCGTGGCCTCGCGCATTCTGCTGCTGATTGCTTGTTTTGCAGAAGTTAATTCCTTTATTTAAAAACAAATTTAAAAAAAAAACTTTACAAGTCCTTTCCGTCCCCCCCTTTAAAAATAAAACTTTACGACTCTGTGGCTATGAACTGGCCGGCGTCTGGAATGATGTTTATTTCTAAATGCAGACATGCCAAAGACAGGGTTCGTATTTTTGAGGTCAAATTTGTATACTGAGTGAGGAAATAGACGGTGCCTGCGGCTGCTGCCTCCTCTGGGATGCAAGCTGGGCTGTTTTCTCCCGGAGAGCCTCACGCGCTCCCAGCGCCTCACCTCCCAGCGATGTAGCCGGTGCCGGGAGGCGCGCGGGCCGCGGGTCAGTGGATGGAGCCCACTGGGCTTCAGAGAGAAGTGGGGCAGCTGACGGCACACGGCCCCCCTTGTCCGATCCAACCCATGCCGAAGGAGGGTCTGTCCCCGCCACCCGAGAGCCCTTCTCTTTTGCTTTTGCTGAGCAGCTCGCTCCTCGAGGCTGTACAGCGACTTAGTCTTTGCCCCGGGGCACCACGCCACCCTTGTCTTGGGAGAGCTGGGGAGTGCTCTGGGAAAAGAGGGAAAGCCGGGCGCCCTCTGGAAACATTGCTGGGCAAGCGGTTCTGGTAAACAGAAGAAACTCGGATTTCCGAGGCTCCAGTAATTGTGATTTCTTTTCTTACTCCACTTCGTGCCTAATTGTGTGTTCTTTTTCCAAAAGACGGCCTGGCATATCCAGAATCCACCCTAGCTTTTGCTCAGAATTACTTAGTGGTTACAGCGCTCCCAGCGTATTCCAGGTGGTTCACTGGGGCCAAGTGTGCCTTTGGCGTGGAGCTCCTTTTCCAGTTTTTCTATCCTTTCCCTCTCTCCCTATCGCTATTTCAAGAGGAAATACGGAATTGGGCTCCACGCCTCTGATCTCGTTCCCCTCAATCCCCGTTCTGAACAGCGCAAGTGGAATGATGGAATGATCGCTCTAAAGAACACCTGGCCACTTTACTCCCGTGCTTAAATGCCCTTCCCTTGCTCCTCATAGTTCTGGGGTTAGAGTCTAAACTCCTACCCTAGCTTACCTCCCTGCCTTATCTCTTCCAAGGTGTTAAGCAGTGTTAACACCTCCTGACTCCCCTAGACTAAGAAAATTCTGCCCTTTCCTCCAACAGCTGGTCCTTCCTAGCTATCCATGAGGGTGTAACTTCCTGCAGAGAGCCTCTCCAGAACTCTCCACCCACCAAACTCTCAGGATTAGGCTAGGTGTTTCACCTGTGTGCTTCCCTAATATCCTTGCCTGATTGTTAGTTTCCCCCGCAACACACTTATTTATGTGTCCTTATGATAGAAACTAGGCTTGTTTACCAGTCTCTCCCCTGGCACATTGGAAAAGCATCCGTATACATTTTATTACACTGAAGGAATATTGTTTGTCAACAGAGGTCCAGACTCTGATATTTCTCCCTCCAGTGTGCATGGATTCTACCTCATGATCCAGGAGGGCTACTGGCTCTCCAGACATTGAGTCCACATCCCAGGCCAGCGTTAGGAGGAACAGGGGAAGACTAAAGAGCACTTGTTTTCTCCTGTTTCTGGAGCCTTCCCAGAAAGACCACATAATGCATCCACTTTTAGCTCATTGCTAGGACTTAATTACCCTAGCAAGCTGGCTACAAGAGATTGGGAAACGTAGTTTTAGTCCACGTGGCATTGTACACAGCTGAAAGCCATGGTTCTGTAATTATGGATGAAGGGGCGAATGGATTTAGGAAAAACTAGCATCTTTATCATGACTTCAAAGCAGACAAAAAGAATGCCAGATGGCTACAACAGTTCACCTCTTTGACTACCTAGTGTCAAATGTTTCTTATCATCTTTACAATTCTGAAAATACAATAAAGATGCTCCCACTTAATAACCCTTGTACAATTGAAAAGCATTCCAAGCCAGGTGCTCACACCTGTAATCCCAGCACTTTGGGAGGCCAAGGCAGGTGGATCAACTGAAGTCAGGAGTTCGAGACCAGCCTGGCCAACCAAGTGAAACCCTGTTTCTACTAAAAATACAAAAATTAGCCGGGTGTGGTGGCACATGCCTGTAATCCCAGCTACTAGGGAGGCTGAGGCACAAGAATCGCTGGAACCCAGGAGGCGGAGGTTGCAGTGAGCTGAGATTACGCCACTGAGCTCCAGCCTGGGCCACAGAGTGAGACTCCATCAGGAAGGAAGGAAGGGAAGAAAGGGAAGGAAGGGAAGGAAGGAGGGAGGGAGGGGAAAAAAGGAAGGAAGGAGAAAGGAAGGAAGGAAGGAAGGAAGGAAGGAAGGAAGGAAGGAAGGAAGGAAGAAAACAGAAAAACACATTCCCTCTTTCCCCCAAAAGGATCATCATTTTCTGTGTCCAGCTCCAAGCCCAGGAGCTCTGGGTGATAGCCATTCCTCCAATTCTGTCACCATCTCATCTCAACATTCTGTATCTTACGGACTAAATTATTAAGTTATCCATCACTAGTTTGTCCTGTATAAAATAGTAGAAGAAAAAAATGTAAAGGAAAGGAGAATTCATTATTAGGTTGGCGCCAAAGTAATTGTGGCTTTTTGCAATTAAAAGTAATGACAAAAACCACAATTACTTTTGCATCAATTTATAAAATACATACATATGACACAGCAAGAAAAAAATATAAGTTAGAGTTGTTGTTTTTCTGACTGGTCATAAAGCTGTAATTGCTCTCCTTAATGGACGTTACAAAATTTCCCTTTCCCTTCATCAGGGATCTCAGCTAGTCAGGGGTAGCCCTGATTTCTGAGGAATCTAAGCTTGTTAATGTTTGCCACTGGACATGCCAGCAGCAAGAGGCACTACCATGATTGAATTCTGTCTATTCACCTTTTATTGCTCATCATATAACAGCAACTCTACTTCCTCTTAATAGTTACTGTCATCACAGCCAACACCATCATACTATTTTTTACAATTCACCCACTGGCATGAGGAGTCTGAAATAGCCAGGGTCTCAACTTTTATTTCACTTAAACCACACTTGAATCTCCTGGGGTAGAAGAGTTCCTCCTTGGTTACTAAGACCTTCAAACTAGCCAAGCCTAGAGGCGAAGGAACGGGAAACAAAAAAATTTGCAAGTAAGTCACTGAGTGTTAGTGAAAGGTGCCATTCTCTTGGTTCCTGTAGCCATGTATCCTGACTGCAGGACAAATAGCACGATATGTCAGCTTTGGGTTCAGAAGAAATTCTATATATTATAGGACACCAATGCTACCTTTCTGTGCATTGTTGTCCTGCAGGCACAATAACTAAGCCTACAATTGGTCATTCCACCACTGGATAAGGCCAGCTGCTACTTGAGGGACAGAAATTAGCCTACCACGTTTCTTCTTTTAGTATAAAGTGAGGTCCTTGGTCAGAGCAATATTGTATAGGATACCATGATGATGAGCAATGCATTCAGAAAGTCCCGGGACAATAACGCAGGCACAGGAGGCAAAGAAAGTCAGTCCAAGTTCAGAAACATTGTCTATTACAGCAAGGACAAATTGCTGATATCCTACGTGATTAAAGAGGTCTATATAATCTGCTTTCAGGTGGCTGTCTAGGACTTCCCCTGAGTTTGAAACCTCTTGAAAGGCTCAGAGTTGGCTGGCGATACTCATGAAAAGCCAGGTCAGCCTTGGTGGGGAAGTCCAGATTGTTACAAAATGGATCAGTCAGTCCCTGCCTGCATGGTCACTGTGTCCATGAGCCCATTGAATAAGCAGTGGGCTAACTGGGGACAGAAGATGTCTTCCATACCCAGGGCAGGTAGACATGTCCACCTGAATGCTGAGAGCCTCCAGTAGAGCTGGGTGTTTTGGGGAACCTGACTTGGTGGCTTGATGGATCAAAATAACATGCAGCTCAAGACGGGCAGCTCAGACTCCATGGTAATCTGCCTTCTTGATGAGACATTCAGTCTCTTCCACAGCCCAGGAGCAAGCCATCTCTTTCTCTCAAAAGAAAAATAGTTATTTGACAAATAAGGCATGTATGTGTTCCCAAACCCTTATAACTGACACTGTGATTCTCCTAACAGGGCTTGTCACAGGTAATGTACACCTCTCCAATCTGCCATTGACACTTTGAGCACCGTTAGATCCACGGAGTCATGGATGACAAAACAGATGGCATTGCAGCCTGAACCAAATGGAGCATCTCCTCTGCCTTGAGCCCCTTCTCAAAATTAGCTCCCTTTTGAGACACCCCATAAGTGGGTCAGAGAAGCCCACTAATGTGACAAATATTGCTTCCATAAATAGGACCTCAAAGCATTACGCTTCTGCTTCCTGTAGGAGGCGGTGTCAGCTGTAATATCTCATCCTTCATTTTGGAGGAGCTATCTCAACCTAGACTCCCTGAAATGCTTCCGTGAGGTCACAGGCCCCTGTAGACTCATGAGATTTACATGTTTCTTACATGCCTAGAATAACTGCCATCTCTGCCTTGTGGGTCCTCATAGCATGATGTCATTAATATAGTATCACTGTGATGTCCAAAAAACATTAAAATGATTAAGAGTTCTGAAGACCAAATTGTGGCATGAAGCCAGAGTTGACCTAACCCTGAAGGAGATAGGAAAGTATCCTTACTAGATGAGACAAAGTGGCTTTTGGAGTTCTTCACTTATTGGGAATGAGAAAAAAACCATTTTCCTCCAGAGGCTGTGTGGGCTTGCTGTATTGAAGTCACCACCATATGAAGCTTATGATTACCTGTTTTATTTTCCAAGACCCCTCCATCTGTGTACCAACTGAACAGTTAGATGAAAAAGTGATGGGAGTTTACCACTTCTTTTTTTTTTTTTTTTGAGATGGAGTCTCGCTCTGTTGCCCAGGCTGGCATGCAATGGCGCGATCTCGGCTCACTGCAACCTCTGCCTCCCGGGTTCAAGCAATTCTCTTACCTCAGCCTCCCGAGTAGCTGGGATTACAGGCGCCCACCACCACGCCTGGCTAATTTTTTTGTATTTTTAGTAGAGACGGGGTTTCACCATGTTGGCCAGGCTGGTCTTGAACTCCTGACCTCAGCTGGTCTGCCTGCCTCGGCCTCCCAAAGTGCTGGGACTACAGGCGTGAGCCCCTCCGTCCGGCCTTTTTTTTTTTTTTTTTTTTTTTTGAGGCAGAGTCTTGCTCTGTCGCCCAGGCTGGAGTGCAGTGGCGTGATCTCGGCTCACTGCAAGCTCCGCCTTCTGGGTTCACGCCATTCTCCTGCCTCAGCTTCCTGAGTAGCTGGAACTACAGGCGCCCGCCACCATGCCGAGCTAATTTTTTTGTATTTTTTTTTTAGTAGAGACGGGGTTTCATGGTGTTGGCCAGGATGGTCTCAATCTCCTGACTTCGTGATCTGCCCGCCTTGGCCTCCCAAAGTGCTGGGATTACAGGCGTGAGCCACCGTGCCCAGCCTTTTTTTTTTTTTTTTTTTTTAGATGAAGTCTCGCTCTGTTGCCCAGGCTGGAGTGCAGTGGCGTAATCTTGGCTCACTGCAACTTCCGCCTCCTGGGTTCAAGCGATTCTTCTGCCTCAGCCTCCCGAGTAGCTGGGATTAGGAATTTACCACTTCTTTGGCATCCAAGTTCAGGTCTGAGAGTTGGATGCGGGTACAACATTCTCTGATGGGATGGTTTAATTCAGATCTAGGGAGTTTTTATTTTGCTTTTGTCAACTATATTAAGCAGGTCCACAGAGGACCGCCCATCTCATTTGTCCTAAGAGCTCATATTCAATTAGTTTCTGCCAAAGATCTTTGATGTGCAGGCAATTCTGATTGTCAGACTGGCCATTCTCAGACTGGTCATGATCATCTTGCCTTCTATTGGGATAACCTCTCCCTTACTGGTGGTTGTGCTGCCATTGAACTCTGGCACCCAGGATCCTGGCAAACATGAGGGAGTCCATTCATCTCCAGCCGCTCTCAATAGCATCCCTGATGTACAGAGTATAGCTACGACAGTACTTTTGAGATATACTTCTCTCACCAGTGTCTCTCTCGGTGCCTTGACAAAGGGAGTGTCTTCTGGTCCCTCTCCAGGACCAGTTAGGGGATTGGTGAGTGGGATTTGCACAATAAATCCACAGCAACATTCCTATTTCCTGGGATTCCTGCTTCTACATTATGCTTGATAATTTCAGACCTCTCAGCTTCTCTTGAATGATGTGGGCTGCCATCAATTCCAGGTTTCATTCAACCAATGAACCAGACAAACAGACCCCTCCCTCTGCTCCAGGAAGCATATTGAACTAGAATCTCTTGGTAAACAAATGTTCTTTGCCTCCTACTCTGGTTTAGCACCCTTAAAATCCATTCCCACATGTATTCTGAAGACTTTTTTTCCAGAATAAAGAGCAAAGTCTTGTAGTTATTTTGGTGTGTAATTCTCCATCCAGGGTTGGCTTTATAAAATGAGGGATATGTTGGTATCTAGTTCTGTCTTTGAAGAAAATGAGAAGTGGGAGACACAAGGCAACTTGACTTCCTCAGGCAAGAACCATAGTTCTTCCAGCAAGGCAGGAACAGCCTCCTCACACGGAGAGAAAGGGCTGCTTTCTGTGATAAGGGGAGCTTTGTGCACTGAGTCCTTAGTCCCATCTGTCCCCATTCTCCATCCCCTGATTCCAACTCTTTCCAATCAGTCCCCGAACTATCACATAAGAGACCAGAGAAGGCTGTGCATTCAACAGATGTTGAAAATCAGAAACCTGGCTCAGTGCGGTGGCTCATGTCTGTAATTCCAGCATTTTGGGAGGCTGAGGCGGGAAGATCACCTGAGGTCAGGAGTTCGAGACAGCCTGGCCAACATGGTGAAACCCCGTCCCTACTGAAAACACAAAAATTATCTGGGTGTGGCTGTGTGTGCCTGTGTGTGCCTGTAATCCCCACTACTTGGGAGGCTGAGGCAGGAGAATCACTTGAGCCCGGGAGGCGAAGTTTGCAGTGAGCCGAGATCGCGCCACTGCACTCCAGCCTGGGCAACAGAGTGAGACTCTGTCAGAAAAGAAAAGAAAAGAGAGAGAAAGAAATAAAGAAAACCAACCAGAAATGCACAGGCTCTCCCTTTTGGCCATGGTCGCAAAAGATAAAATAGTCTTTTAGCATCTTCATTGAAAGTCATCAAAAGTCCTAGGTTTTCAGACTGTGTGCCTTGAACTAGAATTTCAGCCCTTGCTATTTGCTTCTCAAGCTAGAATCAACCACTTTTCCCCACAGCTCTTAAATTCTTTGTGTCCCTCATACTGCTGTCTAGCAGCATCACTCTGTTTCTGAAAACTTTAATGTCAATGGAATCTTCATTGTCCTGGGTTACCTTTACCGCAAGTGACCACAAATGACAATTTATGCCATGAACCGTCTTAACACTATCTGAATTTTCATTTTCCTCCAGCTCAACCAGACCAGATAACCAAGCTCAAATTCTCACCATTCTCTGAGAGTATGTGGCTACCAATACTCCCGGTGTCTATTTCTATATTTCCCAGAGTTCTTGGTTGCAAGCAACAGAAGTAAGATTTGGTTAATTTAAGCAGAAAAAGAATTCATTAAAAGGCACATTATGTGGTTCACAAAATCTCCAAGAGTGCTGGAGGAGCTTGGAGATTAAGAAGAAGGAATGATACCCAAAGTGATGCTGCAGGACTGGTTCTAGAATAATATCACTGCCCCTACCACTGGCTCTGATACTAGTAGTTTGCCCCACAGGAAATACTAGTGCTGGACACTGGAAATTGCCTGTATCAGTTAGGCAAGAAGAAAGTTGCAAGTAACAGAAAATCTGTCTAATAATAGATTAATAGTAAATGTTTGTCTTTCTTACATATCTGGATGTCAGTTGTTGCAAGCATTGATTCAACCATTTAAAAAATCTGTGAGGGATCCTGGCCCTATCTGTCTTTCTTCTCTATCATCCTTAGCATATTGGCTTTAATCTTCAGAGTTGTCCTCTCGTGGTTGCAAGATGGCTGCTCTAGCTCCAGCCATCACATTTGCATTCAAGGCAGAAATTGGAAGAAGACAGAAAGAGTGACTCCTATGTCAGGAGGACAAGGTTTTACCAAAAAATCCCAAGTCAGGCCTCCACCTACATCTTTTGGGCCAGAAGTGTGCCATAAGCCATCTAGAGCTATAAGGGAAGCACTCATTTGGCACATCCAGCCTCTATAGTAGGGACAGGCAAAGGGAAGAGGTTACAAAGGGTTTTGGATAAATGAATCCGTCTCTAGAGTAGATTATGCAGTCCATGCTTCCTTAAGTCACACTCTTCCAATTCAAAGTCTGGAGCAGGGGCGTTTGATTAGCAGAGTCTAGACCATGTGCTCTCATCTTAGCAAGGGTGGCTGGGAGCATGACTCCCTGGCATCTGCCGCTTCTATGGTGGAAGCTTCCACTTCATTCTCTTCAAGTAGGGAATTTCCCAGGTGGAGAAAGGGAGTGCCCGTGCTGGAAGTCCAGATGGGGACAAATACTTTTCCATACTGTTACAGATCTTCCCAGATTATTTTATGCGTGTTGTTAAAAGTTGAAAATTGGTCGGGCGTGGTGGCTCATGCCTGTAATCCCAGCACTTTGGAGGCCAAGGCGGGTGAATCACCAGAGGTCCAGAGTTCAAGACCAGTCTGGCCAACATGTCTGTTTTGTAAAGACCTGTCTTTACAAAAATACAAAAATCACCTGGGCATGATGGTGGGTGCCTGCAGTCCTAGCTACTCGGGAGGCTGAGGCAGGAGAATCGTTTGAACCCTGGAGGTGGAGGTGGCAGTGAGCCGAGATCGCACGATTACACTTCAGCCTGGGTGACTGAGCGAGACTCCATCTCAAAAAAAAAAAAAAAGTTGAAAATTCACGTTTTGGAAAATGTACATCACATTTGCATGAGATTATCTTTTTTATTATCTGTCCTCAGGAATTCTTTTCTATTTCCTTTGAAATATTTAGGGAGTGAAAAGAAGGCAAGCTAAAGACAGAATTCCTGTTCTGCAACTTGGCTGGTCTCTGAGATCAGGCTACCAACAGGCATCTCTTGCAGCTCCAAACCTCCTACCCTGCCTCTATACTGCTCAGGAATCCAGGAACCCCCAGTGTGAAGCTCCTCCAAGTCTGCTGACAGCAGCATGCAGGATACCCCTCCCAGAGTTTATTATAGAGAATCCCACTGGGGCTAGCTGCTTGAATTAAGATCTGATTTGTATTTTATGACTGGAGGGATGAAAACAGTCTAACACAGATTTATGGTGATAGTTGCAAGGCTTGGTGAATTTACTAAAAATCGATGACTTGTGTACTTGAAATGAGCGAACAGACCCCTCCCACACTTCCTGCCCAATAAAACGTATCTGTCTGTGTTCTGCTTCAGAGGACTAGAATTTCCAAGGTGGCGAGTAGCTTGTTTCGACAACCAAATCTGTGCTAGTATTTCCCTGGGAAGGAATACTTTGTACCATTTGGTTCTGCTGATTCCAGCTATAGAAATAAATTATCATTAGGAACCATATAACCAGTCATAGCCTGCTCAATCTAGAATATTAATAGAGGCCCCCAGAAAAAACAACTCTAGCCAGAAGGAATGTCAGTCAACTAAGGAGTGCAGGCCCCTTAAAAAATGGAAACCTTGACCTAATAGCAGAGAATCCCATCATCAGGCTGGACTTATTTATATTCATAGTTGTACATTGTTAGAGGAAACTACCTCAGCAGTTACAGTAGAATTCTAAAAATTCAAGCTTTGAAAACTTAGTGTCATGTGGCTCTTAGTCTCTGAATTCTGCCCATAAAAGACTTTTTGTTTGCTCTAGGCAATGACAAGTCCTGCTTCACCAAACCTAAAGTGATAGAAACACAGAGTTATCTCTTCACTTCCAAGATCAGCACATATTAGGTGTTGGATTCATAACTGAATGAACAACTGATTCACTGGCTGGAGTTTTTGTTCTTAGCCACTCAGGACAGAGTCTACGTTTTTTGTGAGTTTTTTGGTTTAAGTCACAATCTTAAAATTTGAATGCTAAGAGTTTCAAAGGTTTTAGGAATGCTGAGATTCAAGGAGTAGGTAAGATAGCATACGTGATAAGTAGGGTTTTACAAGCTAAGATTATTCTTGTGTAAAAGCCAGGAGTGTTTTGAAAGTTCCTATTTTAACTAACGAATTGTACTTTTTCTAAGATATACGTGAATTTTATGCCTATTTTATGCTCTCGTGTTTGTGATTCCTAAACTGAAGGACCATTAAGCATATCAGACTTTTTAAAAACATTATCAAATCAAAGTTCACTCATTTCAAAGTGTATAAGTCAGTGATTTTCAGTAACTTCACCAAGTTGTGCAACTATCGCCATAAATCTGTCTTAGACTGTTTTCATCCCTCCGGTCAAAAGATAAAAATCAGATTTTAATTCAAGCAGGTAGTTCCAGTGGGATTCTTTATAATAAACTCCAAATCGAGGACAATCCTTAACTAGTACCTAAGCAAACAGGCAGATGGTGTAGCCCTTCTAGAGTTGCTCAGAAATGCTCTCTTAATGATTCAATAATTTCATTAAAACTTTGGTATTATTAAGTGGATCTGTGACAAAAAAGGAAATTTAGTCTAAAAGGTCAAGAACATAGACTATTTCCTATTCACCTGGAAACAGAATGAAATTGTTACTATAAATGAATCCTAAGAAGCATCTTAACATCATAACCTCAGCCGGGCGTGGTGGCTCACGCCTGTAATCCCAGCACTTTGGGAGGCCGAGGTGGGTGGATCACGAGGTCATTAGTTTGAGAACAGCCTGGCCAAAATGGTGAAACTCCCTCTCTACTAAAAATACAAAAATTAGCCAGGCGTGGTGGTGTGCACCTGTAATCCCAGCTACTCAGGAGGCTGAGGCAGGAGAATCGTTTGAACTCGGGAGGCGGATGTTGCAGTGAGCTGAGATCAAGCCATTGCACTCCAGCCTGGGTGACATAGCAAGACTCTGTTCCCCCCACCCAAAAAAAAAAAAACAACATAATTTCCTGCTCCAGGAAAGTCATAGTGAGTGGTTTGCTCAAGTTTCGGAGGGGAAAATTAGATCCAGTGCTTACCAGGAGTTCTTGCAAAGGCATTTAAGCTGCCTGATAACGTTCAGTGTTCTTCCTAATTGGTTCCCATTTTCATCTCCAGAAAAGGCAGTGTTTCAAGGAGCTCATGCAGAAAGAGGTGGCTGGTTGTACCCACAGAACTTCATTACATCAAAGGGACTGAGAACTGACCAGATCTTGCTTTCAGGAGTATAACATTCACGCACTGCAGGGAAAATTAGCTATTATGGGTGTCCCTGGGCACACAACATGTATAGCTATTGATAGAATTGAAATCTCCAGGCTTCGGTGAACTATGCAAGAAAGGCTTTACCTATGGCCCCAGGGCAGGGCAAAAGGAATGAAGGTGAGGGACACGTTGAAAGCAGTGCTGAGAAAGCAGTTCCAGAGGCCAGGCCAGATCCAGTTTTTGTGGGGCCTGCAACCTTCTTCAATACTAGAGATCCTCTTTAAGGAAAGAAAAAATAAAATTACATATGCAAAATTTAATACTAAAGTAAATATTTATTTAGAACAAGAAATTTATTTGGAACAAATTACAAAGTTTCAGACGCTGACCAATACTACACATATCACAAAACTCAGAAGAATAATGCAATGTTTTTGCTTAGTAATTGCCCGAGGTTCCTCTGCATTTTTTTTGGCTGTATACCCCTCTTAATATAAGAATGATTCTGCACACCTGTAGTCCTAGCTACTTGGGAGGCTGAGGTTGGAGGATCACTCCAGCCCATGAGTTCGAGGCCATAGTGAGCTATAATCATGCCACGGCACTCCAGCCTGGGCAAACAAATGAGACCCTGTCTCTAAAAATAAAAATAAAAATAAAAAATAAAACAAATGACAACAGAAAGAATAATTCTGTAATAATATCTTTCCGTAGAGGGAATAGGAAGATACTTCTTTCCTCTTGCACAATTGATCACACCTTGTTTTTGTTATTAAGGTTCAGGAGAGTTTGTTTCAGCTTTGCAACTCGTTGTTAGCCTTGTAGATTCTTACGGTTGTTTTCAAGCTTGAGGACATTGTGATGAATGAACTTTTCTTTCATTTATGGTTCATAAGCTTTCAGAACATTTCAAGTTTTCTTGTGCAGCAACTAATCTTAAATAGTCTTTGAGTTGACACTCATTACCCAGTTTATTGTGGTGTCCGTGTCCTGGCATAGTATGAGTTTTAAGTAATCTTCATATTTCAGGCACAGCCTGCAGAAAGGGAAAACAAAGGCTACCCCATAAAGAATGCAGGCCAGCACTTGGGGCCCAAGGAACTTGGCCACACCCAGAGCACCATTTGCATTTTTCCTCTGCTCGGCAGAGCACAGTGACTGCTTTGTGCTCAGAGAGGGGAGAAAGACCTCTGTGCCCACAGCACAAGCGAAGGCCTTCTTGGGACGAGAGCCATCCTGTGTCTTCTCATCTGGACACTAGGGGACAAAGGGAGAGAAAGGAGGCAGGAAGGCAAGCCAAGGGGCCCTGCTAGTGGGAGCTTTCTGAGCTCTGGGAGATCCAGGTCTTGGCTAGTAGGATTTGGCCAGCAGAGGCCCCGCTTCAGACAGATGCCCTGGGAATAGACGGACCCTACTAGAGTAGACAGAGAACTTAAACTTGGTCCAAGAGCACCTGGAAGCAGATTCTTAAGAAAGTGCTTCTTAGTTGTGCTCTCAATGTGGGAAAACAGCAGGGATTGCAATTTCAAAAGGAATAATGCTGGATCTCATACTGGGAAATCAACCAAAAGGAATCAGCAGAACAGGGTAGGGGAAAGCCCGGGTCTTGCAGGGCTTTTCCCAGGAGAACTGGAATTATAGGTGCTCAGAAGCAATTTGGAGAGTCAGTGGATGGCTGAGTGGCTGCTCTGCTCTGCACACGATCACAGCACAAAGCCCCACTGTGGCTGCAGCAGCCATGGCCTGACTCACATATGCTGCCTCAGCACGTTCTGGGCCATGGGAATATTGCCAGCCTTCTGCTTTGACAACCTCCACAACCAAGCCTCAGGGCGATCCTCTATGGCCGTCTGATGACAGCCCACCACCAGGTTACAGCAGCAGCCTGCACAGTCCCCTGTCAGCGAGCTGGGTGAGTTTCTGGAGCGGGCTGGGACCCCAGAGAATGAGGCAGGCCACTGGCAGGCGGATGCCAGCTACTGAGGTGAGAAATGGGTCGCTCTGAGCTTTGCTGGGATGCACAAGTGCTGTGCTTCACTGATGTACTGTAAGCACAGCCTTGTCAGTACCCACCGCTCTTCCTGTCCAGACTAGGCCATCAACCTCACAGAGCTACTGCGAAAATGAAATAAAATAATGCATGTAAGTGCCTAGCCCTACATCTAGAACATGAGAGCCCACCAATTGGGAGCCACGAATGGTGCTGATCCTGACAGTTTAACGGTGGTGACAGAAGACCTTGGGCTGTTCTTACATTATTGGTGACAGATAGATGCTGGTCTGTCTCACTCTTTATCTCTCTGCCCCTTATAACAACTAACTTGGGGCTGGGCACAGTGGCTCAGGCCTGTAATGCCAGCACTTTGGGAGGCCAAGGTGGGCGGATCACCTGAGGTCAGAAGTTCGAGCCCAGCCTGGCCAACATAGCGAACCCTATCTCTACTAAAAATACAAAAATTAGGCCGGGCATAGTGGCTTACATCTGTAATCCCAGCACTTTGGGAGGCCGAAGTGGTTAGATCACTTGAGGTCAGTAGTTGGAGACCATCCTGGCCAACATGGTGGAACCCCGTCTCTACTAAAAATACAAAAATTAGCCAGGCATGGTGGTGTGTGCCGGTAATCCCAGCTACTTAGGAGGCTAAGGCAGGAGAATCGCTTGAACCTGGGAGGCAGAGGTTGCAGTGAGACGAGATCCCGCCACTGCACTGCAGCCTGGGCAACGGAGCGAGACTCCGTCTCAAAACAAACAAACAAACAAACAAACAAAAAACAAAAATAACAAGTGACTCAGCCACGCATGGCCCTGAAATGAGCAGTCACTTACTAGGTGCAACATTTCCCAGCTCCGGGACTGAGAATCACAGGATTAAGATGGAAAGAAGGAAGTATACAATTAGGGAGGGCTCAAATGACAAGTAGGAACTAGGAATGTAAAAAGATTTGGTACACAGAAAAGTAGGGGGTCAGATAGCATAGCCTGTGTGAGCTGCGAGGACTGAGAGCAAGCAGGTTTTGGAGAACCCTAAGAAGGTCAGACCATAAGAGGCAGAGGGGGAGGAGGACCACAGATTGGAGTTAAGCCAACCAAACAAGCAAACGAACCAAAAACAACCATTTTTAAGGTGTTAGAATTGAACACTTTAACACACAGTATTTTGTTCATCCGTAAACATGTCTTTATTAATGTATAATTATTGTTCTCTCTGTCTAACAGACGATTAAAGGAAGCTCAGGGTTAGGGACCTTCCCTAAAGCCACACAGCTAACTGAGGTCAGAGCTGGCCCAGAAAGCCTCATGTCTAGCTCTGAGCCACAGGGCAACGTGGCCCAAAAAGCCCAGTGAGGACCCACCACTTCCGCCAACCTGGGATGACAACAGCCAATTCCACGGCCATAGTAGTGGCCCCTGGAGCTGATGACCTTACGAACTGCAGTTCCCCCTGCTGCCCTTTCTGGCTGGTGTCCTTCAATATGCAGCCAGGCTCTGGACTCTGGTCCCCCCGCAGCAAGGGCAGCAAGGCCAAGGGCCAGTGAGCAGCCAGTTCTGTTCTGCTCCAGTAAGTGCTGCTCGAGTAATGACATTTTAACTCTGACCTGCTGTGAAGGTTGGATCTTGGTCTGGATCCTTCTTGACTCCACAACAGCAAGCTGTAAAAGAGTCAATGCTGGCCGAGCGTGGTGGCTCACACCTGTAATCCCTGCATTTTGGGAGGCCGAGGCCAGCGGATTACTTGAGGTCAGGATTCGAGACCAGCTTGGCCAACTGGCAAAACCCTGTCTCTACTAAAAATACAAAAAATTGGCCGAGTGTGGTGGTGCATGCCTGTAATCCCAGCTACTCAGGAGGCTGAACCCAGGAGGCTGAGGTTGCAGTGAGCTGAGATCATGCCACTGCACTCCAGCCTGGGCGACAGAGAGAGACTCCACCTCAAAAAAAAAAAATTGATGTTGGACAGTGGTTGGCATTTCTGTGAGCACCCACAGGACTCCTGGGAGCTGAGGGACTGACGAGCCACCATGGGCTGGGAGCACATAGACCTCGCCAGCTGGTTGAAAGCAGCACACGTGCTGGGCACTGTGGCAAGTGCTGAGACTATGGAGATGATTATGACACAGGCCTAGGTCTCGAAAAGTCTGCCATGCAAAAGACTACCAGGGTGGCTCGGCGGTAGAAAGGAGAGCTTTGGGCTGGGCGCGGTGGCTCACGCCTGCAATCCCAGCGCTTTGGGAGGCTAAGGCCCGCAGACCACCTGAGGTCAGGAATTGGAGACCAGCCTGGCCAACGTGACGAAACCCCGTCTCTCCTAAAAATACAAAACTTAGCCAGGCATGGTGGCAGGCACCTGTAGTCCCAGCTACTTGGGAGGCTGAGGCAGGAGAATTGCTTGAACCTGGGAGGTGGAGGTTGCAGTGAGCCAAGATTGAGCCACTACACTCCAGCCTGGGCGACAAGAGAAAGACTGCATCCAAAAAAAGAAAGAAAAAGAAAGAAAGGAGAGCTTTGTTGGTTGATATTAGTTTGCAAACCAGGAAGAGATGGTCTCCAGCTTGGACTGAAAGTGCTTGCTCTTCAAAGAGGGAGAGGGCAGGATGGGTGTTACACGGTAGAGTCTGTGTTACAAAGTAGAGTCCGCATATTCAGCAAGTTTAGGGCAAAATCAATACATATTTATGAGGGGCACTCAGTGTGCAATAGGTAAACACATATGTTTACCATGTTCACTTTGTGGGGGGCCTAGATTAAAATGAGGTGGAATTTGGCTCTTTATGTCAAAGGTAACCTAGAGGACACAGACAGTTTGTGTGCAGTCTCTAAGTCACATTGGAACTGGCTGGAGGTGTGCAGTTGCTTATCAGGAAAGAGCGTTTGTAAGATGGTCCTCTGTCCAATGAAAGTTTTAGTGGTCTGGGTTGTAAATCAGAGTTAGGATAATTTGCTTGCTAGCTCCTGTTGTTAGGGAGTTTAGCAAGAGTGTGGTTTTTCCTGTAGGAATTTAAGAAGTTGCCATGCCAGCCAAACTTTGAACCCTCGACCTGTTAATAACTTTTGGCTCCTTAACCTTAGGATCTGTCTTAGTTGATAAAGGAGTGTCTATTTTGGTGTTTTGTTTTGTTTTGTATTGTTTTGCTTTTGAGACAGGGTCTTGCCCTGTCACCCATGCTGGACTGCAGTGGCACAATCATGGCTCACTGCAGCTTCGACCTCCTGGGTTCAAGTGATCCTCCTACATCAGCCTACATCAGACTAGAGGTGTGCACCATCACATTTGGCTTGTGTGTGTGTGTGTGTGCGTGTGTGTGTGTGTGTGTGTGTGTGTGTGTGTGGTCTCCCTATGTTGCTCAGGCTGGTCTTGAATTCCTAGGCTCAAGGGATGCTCTCACCTTGGCTTCCCAAAGTGCTGGGATTACAGGCATGAGCCATCACACCTGGCCAGGGGTGTCTATTTTGGTCTCTCAGATCATAACCTAAGACAGACACACACCCACCCTTGTGATATGTGCTTAAATAACCATCGGCAAACTGTGCCAGGGAAGCCCACAGGAGGGAGCCCCAGGCTCTTGGTGAGAACCTGAGCAACTGTCACCATCATCAGAAGAAGTGGTCTGGTTGGTGTCAGCAGATGCTGCTCAGCATAGACATCCACTCTGCTTAGAGGCTTGTCCCAGAGGCCCAGAGGTGAGAGAGGACATGAGTGGCCCTGCAGTGCCCTGCACTACTACAGGAGTGAGAGGCCAGAGCCCCGGCAGGAACCATTGACCAAGAGTAGCTGAACATCAGGATCTGACTCCATAGAGACTATATTAGTCAAGACCCCCTGAGCTGCAAACGTCATAAACCATATCTCATTTACTTCAGCAAGAAAGGAAGGAGGGTTAGCCAAGGAATTAAAGCCCAGGCTGGCCTGAGACGTGCCAGAACCACGTGGAATCTCTGGCAGATGCCTGCTTCCCCACAACCCCCAAATGGGGGCTTCTCTCTCTGGCAGGGCTGTGGCTGCTGCAGCCCTGCGTGCATTTTCAAAGACCTGCCAGGGGAACAGGTCTGTGGCTCATACCTGTAATCCCAGCACTTTGTGAGGCTGAGGTGGGAGGATTGCTTGAGGTCGGGAATCTGATACCATCCTGGGCAACATAGCAAGACCTTCATCTCTGCAAAAGATCAAAAAAATTAGCTAGCATGGTAATGTGCACCTCCAGTCCCAGTTAATCAGGAGGCTTAGGCAGGAGGATCACTTGAGCTCAGGAATTCGAGGCTGCAGTGAGCTGTAATGGTACCATTGCACTCCAACCTGGGTGACAGGGTGAGACCCCAGCGCTTAACAACAACAGAAGAGTAGTCAGGAAGGCAGCTTCCATCCCCAGGCATAGCTGGAGAATTCCTGGGGAGAGGGTCAAGGGGCTCACCTTAGGGTGAAGCCTCCTTCACCCCCTTCTGCATGGAAACTCCTTGACAGGTGGTTGGTTCAGCCTATGCCCTTGTAGCAGCACAGGGCTTGGCTCTAAACAATCAAGACAACTTCTCTAGTTGAACATATTTGAGAAAAGCAGGGCTAGGCAAGGTGTGCTAGTCGGCTTGAGCTGCCATGACAAAGTGCCACAGACTGGGAGGCTTGAATGACACAAATCTCCAGTTCTGGAAGCTGAAAGTTGGAGGCCAAGGCGTTGGCAGGGCTGGTTTCTCCTGATGCCACTCTCCTTGGTCACAGACAGCCTCCCTCCCCTGGGTCCTCACATGGGCTTCCCTCTGTGTGTGTCAGTATCCTAATCTCCACTTCTCATCAGGACCAGTCATATCCGATTAGGACCCACACTAATGGCCTCATTTTACCTTAATTACCTCCTTCTATTTGGAGAGAAGGCCCTCTCTCCAAATACAGTCACATTCTGGGTACTGCGGGTTAGAGCTTCAACATGTGAATTCCGGGGGAAGTACCCAGCCTGTGACACAAGGCTCACCAGGTCATCTGAGGTGAGTGGTGGCGGAAGGGAAGATTGCCTGTGATCATCATTCCTGCTGCTCATTGGCTTCTCTCTCTGTGCCAGGCTCTGTTCTATGTACTTTTCATGCAGTCAGGAAGTAACTCCTATTATCCTTGTAACGACCAATGAACTGACACTTCCCAGGAAGAGCAAAACAAAACAAGGCCCAAGTATCCGGATTGGTCTTGGACTGGAACAGGAAAGATGCAGGCAGATGATGGTTCACTGGAGTAGGCCCTGTTCAGCGTGTGCTTTCATCCGTCTGTAACACACATTGCAAACTCACCTTGTTGCTTGTCCAATGTGTTGGTTTCAAGATCATTAGTTAATCAAATCCACCAACAGATTTACTAAATGTACTGAATTTACTAAAGATTTACCTGGTGTTGGGCATGGAGCAAGACAGTTGGAAAGCTTGCAAGGGTAAGACATGATCCTGTAGGGGAAGTGCTTTCATGGTTACTTGTAGGCAGATATAGAAACTCTGGAAAATAGAAAGAGTGAATAATACTGAGTATTTGATCACACACTGAGGACTGTGGTCCATAATGGTTTAATTGTATATTTTAAAATGGCAGCCAGGCGCAGTGGCTCACGTCTGTAATCCCAGCAGTTTGGGAGGCCGAGGCGGGTGGATCACCCAAGGTCAGGAGTTCGAGACCAGTCTGGCTAACGTGGCAAAACCCCGTCTCTACTAAAAATACAAAAATTAGCCAGGCATAGTGGCGGGCGCCTGTAGTCCCAGCTACTCGACAGGCTTAGGCAGGAGAATTGCTGGAATCCGGGAGGCAGAGTTTGCAGTGAGCCGAGATAGGGCCACTGCACTCCAGCCTGGGCAACAGAGCAAGACTCCATCTCAGAAAATAAAGTAAAATAAAATAAAAAAAAAAAATAAACTCTGGAATGCTATGAATAAAACCAATAGTAATGGTTAAGGGTGGGACCTGGGGAGGTGTGGACAGAGGAGCAAGGGAACGTTGTCACTGTATGCATTTTGTATATTTTTATTTTTTTGAGTTGTTTATCTACTTGGCCTGTTCACAAAAATTATGTTGAGAGGGACAGAGAGACAGAGTGTTTGTCAGACATGAGCCCCTCCTCAAGGGGCTTATAACTAGTCACGTTGGCATTAGGCCTTGGCTTTAACAACACAGCAAGGCTAAAATGATTTCACTTTCTCCAGGCAAGAGCCTATGAGAGTAAATGGGACTAGAACCATGATCCTTACTTTGCAAGTAAAGAACTGAGGTCAAGAGAGAGCATGTGGATACGACCCCATGGTGAGTCGGGGTTCACGCCTGAACACAGGGAAAAGTCCCTGATTCATCATTTGAAACCCTCTTCACTGCGTATGTGGTTGGCCCTTTGAGAAGTTGATGGAAGTTTCTGTTAAAGTCATTCAAAGAATATGTTTTGAGTCAAAATGCCCATGGTCCCTGGCCTCTTGGGGTTCACATTTTAGTGGAGAAAATAAGGTAGATACTCAAATGAGCCTATGAGTACACGTTGTAGTAAGTCCGATGAAGAGGAAAAAGAGATGCTACGAGGAGGAATAGCCAGGGACAACACTTGGGCTTGGGTGGTCAGGGGAAGCTCTGGCTCATTGACATTCAGCTGAGATCCACCGAGCTACGAGAGGGCTGTTGAGGTGTGGACAGGACTGTAAAAGGGAAGGGTCATTCCTTGAGCCCAAAGCCTGTGGTCTTCTAATACAATGTCATTCGTGGGTTCCCTGTTGGCTCATCAGCTACCAAGCTTGGTACCAGGCAATTTGGGATAGGATGAAAACAAAGTCGAAAACATGCTCTTTGACCCCAAAAAACTTACCTCCTAATTGGAGAAGTGAAAATAACCCAGAAACAACCACAGAGTGCTTTAGAGAGTCATGGGATATGGCCGGGCATGGTGGCTCACGCCTGTAATCCCAGCATTTTGGGAGGCTGAGGCGGGTGGATCACCTGAGGTCAGGAGTTCAAGACCACCCTGGGCAACATGGTGAAACCCCATCTCTACTAATAATACAAAAATTAGCTGGGCATGGTGGCGCGTGCCTGTAATCCCAGCTACTCGGGAGGCTGAGGCAGGAGAATCGCTTGAACCCGGGAGGCAGAGGCTGTGGTGAGCCGAGGTCGTGCCGCTGCACTCCAGCCTGGGCAACAACAGCAAACTCCATCTCCAAAACAACAACAACAAAAAAGAGTCTTGGGTTAGGGGAGGAAAGAAGGAGAGATGCAACCAGGTGTGATTGATTTAGCAGGTGGAAAAGTGGGGAAGGCCTACCAGGCAGAGAATCGAGGTGGGTAGACTAGTCTCGTGGAGACAGACCATGGTCCTGGAGTCATTGATGTTGAATCCCAGCTCCTCCGTGTGCCCGCTGGGTGACACTGGGCAAGTTATTTTTTCTGTCCAAACTTCAGTCTTCTAATCTGGAAATCAAGTTATGTTTTCTACTTCTTATGTGGCTGCAAACATTAAATGAAGTAAGATGAATGTAGGATTTTGGAGAACGAAATGCCTGTGGCCCACAGCTGCCTACGATGTAGGGGTGGCACATCTCCCGGGGGGCGAAGCTGGGTGAATTTCCAGTGTCAGCTGCAACCACCAGCTCAGCCTCCTGCTTAGTAACCATCTTTACGACTACAGACAGCAGTCCTCATCTCTGCCCCCTAATTAGCAGTCCTAACTAAGTGATAGGTGGGTTTGGTGGAAACCACACACAACTACCGAGGAAACCAGCTGGGTTTGTCAAAGGAAACCAATCTCCCTGTCCCTCTCCGTGCCCCTCTCTGTTCCCCTCTCCCTCCCCACTTCTCTTCCCTTTCCTTCTCTGCAGTGACCTAGGATCTCACTCAGTACAGCCGGCTTTCAAAGAACTCTAGGCAGAATCGCTCTCTCCTCGATGAGTCAAATCTAAGGCCATTTATCTCAACCCGTAACGTGAAAATAGTGAAAATCAAGAGTGAAACAGAAGTTGTTTCCTCTCGAGAATCAAGAGTGAAACGAAAGTTATATTTCCTCTAGAGAATCAAGAGTGAAATGGAAGTTGTTTCCTCTAGAGAAGCCCCTTGAATAACTTGGACATTTCTATCAGCAACCGTCTTCTAGAATCAGGTCACAATCAAGGGTGAGGGGAGAAGTCTGTGATTCCCAGCACCATGAGAGGATGCAGCCACCACTTTGATACCTTGGAAAATGTGGATCAGTTTAATCTGAAAAATGTTGAACAATCTTCAAACACAGATGTCCCCACTTTCTGGATTTTCGGGTTGAAAGAGATGGAAAATACTCCTTTGTTTTACACCTGAAGGCTGCTGGGCCTTCTGAGATCTGCTAGTCAGCGGCAGATGTAGAAAAAACCAGGACTCAAGTTTTCTGATGCAGAGATGTCTTTCAGCCGCACCGCTCTGCCTGTGTCTCGGTCTGGTGTGGGCTCATCTAAAGCAGCAAGCTCTCGTAGACTGTGATCCGGAGGCGGGAAGCATCCCCCTCTCCACCCTCCTTAAAATGCCTCCCCCTAAGAAGTCTTTCTACTCCAGTCCAGGATTACAACACTTACTTTATTTCCTTTATTTTCTTAGGACCATGCAGAGACTGCGTACATTTCCTCTAAGGCTTTGTCACCCCGTGAGGTCCCTCAGTAGAAAGGATGTTTACATAGTGGGAAGGGTCAGAACTTTCCAAGACCTGATGTCCAGTCCTTACTCTGCCCCTTACTGATTTTCACTCCATCGAGACAATGATCTCTTTTCTAGAGCAGCGCACATTTATTTATTCATTGTCCAAATATAAGGTACACTAAGCACTGAGACATAAAGAGGACAAGCAAGACCTCCCCGACGCCCCTACCCCTGCTTCCAGGACCTTGCTCTGTTGTGGAGACAGATGGGCACACGGGCAACTACATCATATGTTCTAGGATAAAGCGACCATGTATGCAGAGACAGGGAGGCATGAGGCAGCCTGGGCTTCCAGCACTGGGACTGCAGACGGTTCTACTGCAGACTGTAAAGGGGTGGAGTGGGATGGGGATATTGTTAGAGGTCACCAGGGGCCAGATGACAAGGGACATCCTATATCTAACTAAAGAGGTTAGATGTTATCATGTCAGCTCAGGCCGCCCTTGTAGACTTGAGGGCAGGATCACACTTTCCTGGTAGAAAGATCGTAGTTGTCTAATTAGCAAGGCCAGAGGCAGGCAAACCAGGCAAGTGCTTATTGAAACGTTGCAGGGAGTGAGGATGAGTTCCTGAGGCAGGAGAAGGAGAAGCCTGAAGAAAAGAACCTGCTTGAGTCCAGGAGTTCGAGACCAGCCTGGGCAACATAGCGAGACCCTGTCTCTATCTAAAAAATAAAATAAAATAAAAAGGGGAGACTAATTTAAAAACATGAAAAGAGGCCGGGTGGTAGCTCACGCCTGTAATCCCAGCTACTTGAGAGGCTGAGGCAGGAAAATCGCTTGAGCCAGGGAGGTGGAGGTTGCAGTGAGCCGAGATCACGCCATTGCACTCCAGCCTGGGTGACAGAGCGAGACTCCGTCTCAAAACATAAAAACATGAAAAGGGGCCAGGCACAGTGGCTTACGCCTGTAATCCCAGCACTTTGGGAGGCCGAGGCCCGCAGATCAACTGAGGTCAGGAGTTCAAGGCCAGCCTGGCCAATGTGGTGAAACCCCATCTCTTACTAAAAATACAAAAATTTAGCCTGGCGGGTTGGTGAGCGCTTGTAATCCCAGCTACTCGGGAGACTGAGGCAGGAGAATTACTTGAACCAGGGAGGTGGAGGTTGCAGTGAGCCGAGACCTACCCCTTACTGATTTTCACTCCATTGAGACAATGATCTCTTTTCTAGAGCAGCGCACATTTATTTATTCATTGTCCAAATATAAGGTACACTAAGCACTGAGACATAAAGAGGACAAGCAAGACCTCCCCCACGCCCCCGACCTCTGCTTCCAGGACCTTGCTCTGTTGTGGAGACAGATGGGCACACAGGCAGCTACATCATAAGTTCTAGGATAAAGCAACTGCTGTCCAGCCTAGGAAACAGAGCGAGACTCCGTCTCAAAACAACAAAAAGAAACAAAACAATCAAACAGAAAAACATGAAAAGAAAAGGACAAGAAAACACCCAAGAATTAGTAGTAGGAAACTCAAGACAGAGAGTATTATGGAAACCTGGGGAGGAGATAATTTCTAAGAGAGATTGGAAAACAAGATTGTCAAATGCTGCAGACCAGAAACAAGACAAGACCAGGAAGCAGCCCATGAAACTCAGCCCCCAGGAGGCCTTTGACAGCCTGAAGGGAGTCAGTTCCAGGACAGCCACGGGCAAAAGCCAGAGTGCAAGTGTTAAAGAGAAAACACAAAAGCAAGGTAAGGAAGAAAGCCTCAGTTTCCTCACCTGACGATGAGGACGGCAATAAAATGTTATGAGACTATGGATTCAAAAGCTTCAAAAGCTTACCCACGGATGATTAAGAAGTTCCGGAGCTGGATGGTGGTGACAGTTGCAACGACATCGTGAAGGGACTTAAAGGCACTGGATTTTACACTTAAAATGATTTAAATAATACATTTTGCCTTATGTATATCACCCCACTGAATTGTACACTTAAAATGATTTAAATGATACATTTTGTCTTATGTATATTTTACTGCAATTTTTAAAGGGGAAGAAAAGCTTACAGAAAATGGCAGTGTTCTGTGCAGGTGTTGTTTATTTATTTAGAAGGCTAAGAAGGAGAGCTCGTGCTGAAAGCTTGGGAGAGGTAAGGGGCTGAATGATCAGGAGTTTCAGGTGTGGGGAAAGCGCAGAGGAAAGGAGGCCACACCCCGCTCAGGTAACAGGTCCAGGCTGATCCCTGATAGGTGTCGTAAGATATCAGAGTCAGAACTGACTGTGGCCCCGCAATCGAAGTGTCTTATTTTGCCAGGGAGGCTAAAGGGAGAAGGGGAGGCAGCGACTTCTCAGAAGCAGCACCGCCATCCTCACCTAGGTATAGGGTCCTCTGAGGACCAAATGAGAAACTGCTTGTGAAAACCCTGGGTGAAATACTGCATACTAGAGGATCAGGAGGTAGACTACCATCAGCGTCCCCCGACCTTACAATGTTGCATTGTAGTAATTAATACAATATGAAATCATTTTTATGTTATTGAGAAGAATTTGGAAAATATAGAAAACCATGGAATAAAATTAAAAATAATCATTGTTGGCCAGGCGCAATGGCTCACACCTGTAATCCCAGCACTTTGGGAGGCCGAGGTGGGCGGATCATGAGGTCTAGGAGTTTGAGACCAGCCTGGCCAATATGGTGAAACCCCGTCTCTACTAAAAATACAAAAATTACCCGGACGAGGTGGCTCGTGCCTGAAGTCCCAGCTACTCGGGAGGCTGAAGCAGAAGAATCACTTGAACCCGGGAGATGGAGGTTGCAGTGAGCCGAGATGGTGCCACTGCACTCCAGCCTGAGTGACAGAGCGAGACTCCATCTCAAAAATAAAAAATAACCATTGTCTCTCAACTTGACACTTTTTTTTTTCTTTCTGGAGACAGGGTCCTGCTCTTTTGCCCAGGCTGGAGTGCAGTGGTGAAATCATGACTCACTGCAAACTCTGCCTCCTGGGCTCAAGCAATCCTCCCACTGCAGCCTCCCTAGTAGCTGGAATCACAGGTGTGCACCATCATATCTGGCTAATTTTTATAGTTTTTGTAGAGACAAGGTTTTGCCATGTTGCTCAGGCTGGTATCGAGCCCCTGGGCTCAAGCGATTTGCCCACCTCGGCCTCGAAAAGTGTTGGGATTACAGGCATGAGCCACCCTGCCTGGCCATGATAACCTGAACAATTTGATAATGTGACTTTCAAATAACTTTTCTTATTATAGCTTCATACTCATATTCATATTCATAATTAAAAATCTGGAAAATACAGAAAAGTATAAAGAAGCAGATATGCATTCCTGGTAACCCCACAGTTTATATGTATTATACCAGACTTACTGATAGTCTTTCTGTAAATGCCCTTTTAAAAATTATGGTATATTGGCCAAGTGTGGTGGATTATGCCTGCAATCCCAGCACTTAGGGAGGCTGAGGTGGGTGGATCACCTGAGGTCAGGACTTCGAGACCAGCCTGACCAATATGGTGAAACCCCATCTCTACTAAATACAAAACATTAGCCAGGTGTGGTAGTGCATGCCTGTAATCCCAGCTACTCAGGAGGCTGAGGCAGAAGAATCGCTTGAACCTGGGAAGCAGAGGTTGCAGAGAGCCGAGATGACACCATTGCACTCCAGCCTGGGCAACAAGAGCAAAACTCCATCTCAAACAAACAAACAAACAAAAACAGTATATTTTACATAACCTATTCCTTCCACTAAATATAGCATGAATATTTTCTCATATTATGGAATATTCTTTTAAAACATTATTGTAAATGACTATATAGTATACCATCTTGCACATGTAAAATTCTTATAAAGAGTTGTTTTAAGTTTTCAAGAGACAAATGAAATATATTTGCTTTTTAAAATTAATTATAATGGTTCCATGCAGCACACATAGGAAAATTCAGAAACAGAAAAAAACCGGAGCTGGGTGCGGTGGCTCACACCTGTAATCCTAGCACTTTGGGAGGCCAAGGTGGGCAGATCACCTAAGGTTGGGAGTTCGAGACCAGCCTGACCAACATGGAGAAACCCCGTCTCAACTAAAAATACAAAAATTAACCAGACCTGGTGGCACATGCCTGTAATCCCAGCTACTTGGGAGGCCGAGGCAGGAGAATCGCTTGAACCCAAGAGGCGGTGGTTGTGCTGAGCCAAGATCACGCCATTGCACTCCAGCCGGGGAAACAAGAGCGAAACTCCGTCTCCAAAAAAAAAAAAAAAGAAAGAAAAAGAAAAGAAAAAGAAAAAACCCCACTTGCAATCCTACCTTTTTTTTTTTAAATGCATGTCTTATTCTATACACAAATCAACACACACGTATATATGCCTTTTTTTTTTTTCTCTGAGATGGAGTTCTGCTCTTGTTGCCCAGGCTGGAATGCAATGGCACAATCTTGGCTCACTGCAACCTCCATCTCCCAGGTTCAAGTGATTCTCCTGCCTCAGCCTCCCGAGTAGCTGGGATTACAGGCACCCACCACCACACCTGGCTAATTTTTGTATTTTTAGTAGAGACGGGGTTTCTCCATGTTGGTTAGACTGGTCTCAAACTCCCGATCTCAGGTGATCCACGTACCTTGGCCTCCCAAAGGCCTCCCAAAGTGAGCCACCACACCCGGCCTATGTATATATACCTTTTAAATTTTTTACTTATAAATCTATTCTGAACATTTTCTTAAATCAATAAAATTCTATAGAACAATTATTTATTTATTTATTTAGAGACATGATCTCACTTTGACACCCAGAATGGAGTGCAGTGGCACCATCACGGCTCACTGTAGCCTCGACCTCACTGGGCTCAGGTGATCTTCCCACCTCACCTTCCTGAGTAACTTGGGCTGCAGGTGTGCACCATCATACCTGGCTAATTTTTATATTTTTTGTAGAGATGGGGTTTTGTCATATTGCCCAGGTTGGTCTTGAACTCCTGGGCTCAAGCAATCTGCCCACCTTAGCTTCCCAAAGTGCTGGGATTACAGGCATGTGCCACCACACCTGGTTAATGTATTTAATTTTTTTTTTTTTTTTGTAGAGACACAGTCTCATTGTGTTCCCCCAGGCTAGTCCTGGCTTCAACTGATCCTCCCGCCTCAGCCTCCCAAAGTGCTGGGGTAACAGGCGTGAGCCCCAGCTCCCAGCCTTCACTGACATTCTGATTAGCAAGCTGGCTTTCCCCTACCCCTGCATTCCAACATGGCGTCCACTCTCTAATCCTCCCACCATCTACCCATTTTCCTTTGAATTAGACGGATGCTTAATAACTTCTCTAGGATACGGTTAGTGACAAGATAAATAACGCCCTTCGGATGGAATTGGCCACACCCTGAAAATCTAAGTCAGTAACATTTAGCAAACACTTATAAAACTCCTCTGATGTTCATAACATTTCATGAAATGTTGGATGTACAAATATTAACATGATATGCCCCCCACCCTCAGGAGGTGCTCAGTCAGTGGGGAATGTGGACACACAGGTGGGTTGTCTGGGGCAGAGTCTGTGCACTGAGCTGAAGGCATGCCGCGCCATCTGCCTGAGTTCTCCCCATTTAGAAATATTTGCGGTTGCACATTGCTCTGAATGATACGTGATGGGAAAAGAACTGGGTGTGAGGCATACAGCAGGAAAACAGATTGAGCAGCTTGGACAGCACATCAGGACGGGGCACTGAGACCTGTCCTGTGTGATCCTTTATATAGAAACAACAATAATAATACCTAGCAACTCTTTCACTCCTAAAGATAATCAGTGCCCAAAGCCCATCCCTTCCTCTGCCCTTGCTCAGTCCCTTGTAGGTGCTGTGCTCCCTCCTGCCCCAGGGCCTTTGCACAGGCCACATCCTGCCCAGAACCTGCTTCCTGACCTCTTTGACTGGATAAGATTTTCTCAAGCTGCAGATCTTGGCTCAAATATCACTTCCCCAAATGATGTAGGGGAAATATATATATCAATATATCTTTTGTGTTCCCCCAAAAGATATTTTGAAGTCCCAACCCTGCCCCCCGCTGTAGCTGTGAAAGTGACCTTATTTGGAAATGGGGTCTTTGCAGATATAATCAAGGTAAGATGAGGTCATGCTGGAGTAGGAACCCTACATCCAATGACTGGTGTTTGTATAAAGGAAAGATATGTTTGGACACAGACAGAGATAGAGGGGAGAAGTTCCTGTGACACCAAAGGCAGAGACTGGAGTGACACATCTACAAGCCAAGGAATCCCAAGGGCTGCCAGCAATGCCAGATGCTGGGAAAGGGCCGGGAAGGAGCCTCCCCCAGGGCCTCCAGAGGGTGCACGGCCCTGCCTAACCTCAATCTCGATCTTCCAGCCTCCAGAACTGTGAGAATAAAATCCTGTTGTTTCAAGCCCCTCAGTTTGTGGTACTTTGTCATGACAGTGCTGGGAAACTAACACACCAAGCAAGCATTTCTCTACCTCCCCAATTAGAACACAGGGTTCCCCTCTGAAACACTTGTCATGGTTCTATTTATATATTCATTGTGTCATTTAACTACCATTTATCTCCCCGACCAGGCTATCAGCTCCATGAAGGCAGCATCTTTCCCTGCCCAGGGCCTGGTGTGTAAGGTCGGAATAGTTCCTGAATGAACACGTGGCTCATGAGGCAGGTATCCACGCCCGGCCACGTGCTGACGTACGTGCGACACAGGAGGGGACCGGAGGAGAATTTCAGAGTCTGGTGCCGCCATCCACTCGTGGTCCTGAACACTCCACTGTGGGACTGCTTTGGTAACATGACCTTGCAAGCAATGCTTCATTTAATCCTCACAGCAGCTCAACCCACTGATCCCAGCATTATTCCTACTTTATGATACAGAAATTAAGGGTTGCCGGAAGTTATGGTACTAGTGAATGGCAAAGCCAGAGCTTGAGTTTAGATTTGTGGGACTCCGCAGCATATGGTGCAAACATCAAACACCTTCCAGAACTCTTGCTCTGTTCTGTTGGCTAGGACAGGTCCTACGCTGCAGGGTAACTGCGTGTGGTTAAACTTGTCATTCAAATTTGCAAAGGGTGCCTCATTTGCTCAACGCTCTGCATCTGGGGTCTGGAGCCCTCTAAGTAGTAAAACTCTTCATATCAATCACCTGCTTAAATCCCACTGCTCTGGAGGTAGAATACCCTCGGTGCTGTGCCCACTGCAGACATGTCTACTGCTCTCACCCCACATGTTCACCCCACAGCATACCCTGGACCCTGGACCCTATTCTAGCCATGTGGTGTTATGTGCGATCCCCCAAACAGCTGCCCTTAACACCTCCCCACAGCAGCTTGCTGAATCTGCCGTTTTAATTTTTTTTTTTTTTTTGGCTTCTTGTTTTCCTTACAAGAACAACAGGTTCTCTAGAATCCTTCAGCCACCAATAAAATGGTCAGGCAGGGGAAAAACTTTAGATGGGAGTCTTGTCAATAAAAATAAATACAGTTGCATGGAGCTGCTTAAGATTGGAACCAAACACTAAAAATAGGAAGGCAGGGGCTAAAAAGTTATTTTAAGAACCTCCCCCAACCACAGTCACTCTGTGGGCTGAGCGGGGAGCAGGAAGCATGTCTGGTCACACCATCTTGGAATCAGAACCCATGGCTGGATGGATCGGATCTGCTGATGGCGCATGTGGAGCTGAACTTGAACATGACGCCAGCTCTGGGGGGCGAGGTTGGGGGTGTGTTGGGAGGCACTGCCCTCACTGCTGCAGCTCCTTCATTCTGTTGAGGGCACTGCCGGCACAGAACCACTTGATCCGCATCTCATTGAAGGTGTGGTTCAGGAGGATGGTCTCCTGGGTCCCATTGGGGTGCTTGATGATGCACTTCAGGGGCTTGTCAGGGGCGAAGTCCTTCAGGCCCTGAATAGTCAGCTTGTCCACAGGGTGAACCTTGTTGTAGTCGCCTGGGTCAGCAAAAGTCAGGGGCAGCAGGCCCTGCTTCTTCGGGTTGGTCTTGTGGATCCTGGCAAAGCTCTTGGTGATGATGGCCTGGCCCCAGAGGTGGGGAGGCTCCAGCACTGCGTGCTCCCGGCTCGAGTTCTCGTCCCCGATCACCACCCACCTGATGCCATGTTTCTTGTAGTAGCGGGCAGTGTCAGGGACGGGGCCAAACTCCTGGGTGTTTTCAATGTTGGCACTGCACACGGAGTTGGCCTGGCTGTTTTCAATGTTGATGGCACCAGTGAGCAGGTTGTTGGAGATGTTGTCCAAGTGCCCACAAAACTTGAGCCAGGGGCCAGCAGCCGAGATGTGGTCAGTAGTACACTTCCCTTTGACCTTGATGAGTATCTGCGGGTCCTCCAGGTCCTTGCTATCCCACTTGTCAAAAGCCTCCAGGAGCTGCAGGCGCTGGCTAGTGGGGCTCACATCCACGTGCTGGCCACTGCTGTCCTGTGGGGGGTGCTGGTAGGGGTCCTGCCCTGGGTCAAACTCCTCTTGGGGAAGGTCGTCTGCATCCAGAGCCTCTAGCTTGAACTTCTTCCTATCTTTGCCCATCAGGTAGTTGGTCTCTGGGTTGAACTTGAGGATTCCCACAATGGCCAGGGCTGTGACAATCTCTGGGGACGTGACGAAGACATGGGTCTCAGGGTTCGCATCATTGCAGCCCGTGAAGTTCCTGTTGTAGGAGGTGACGATTGTGTACTTCTTCCCCTTCTTGATGTCCTTCGTGTCCCAGCGGCCAATGCAGGGGCCACAAGCATTGGCCAGGACGATGCCACCCACATTCCTCAAAATCTGTGCGTAGCTGTCCCGCTCAATGGTGGCGTGGATCTGCTCGGAGCCTGGAGTGATGGTGAAGTGGGACTTGCACTTGAAGTCATGGGCCAGTGCCTGCTTGGCCACAGCTGCTGAGCGCCCGGGATCTTCATAGCTTTAACTGTTGCAGGTACCAGTCAGACCTACTCGGATGTCCAGAGGCCATCCTTCCTTCTCTGCCACCTTGCCCACTTCTGCCACAGGGTGAGCCTGGTCGGGGGTGAAGGGCCCATTGATGTGCGGCTTCAGCTCACTGAGGTTAATTTCAATTAGTTGGTCATAATGGCAGCCAGGGTCAGGCACCAAGTGATCCTGGAATTCATCAGCTAGATTGGCAATGTCTGTCCGGCCGTCTTGCTTAGGTACCTCCTCATCCTGTGGTTGTAAGGGAACACGGAAGTGGTGGCCCCAATTTCTGCGCCCATGTTGCAGATTGTCGCCATGCCAGCACAGGAGATGGAGTCTACGCCAGGCCTGTGGTATTCCACGATTGCACCTGTGCCACCTTTCACTTTGAGGATGCCTGCCACACCTTCAGGATCACGTCTTAGGGTGAGGTCCAATTGGAGAGGGAGCCTGTTAGCTTCATGCCAATCACCTTGGGGCACTTCATCTCCTAGGGGATCTCAGCCATGATGTCCACAGCATCGGCACCCCCAACTCCAATGCAGATTCCCCCCAGGCCGCCACCACTGGGGGTGTGGGAGTCAGTGCCAATCAGAAGAACCCTAAGGTATGCATAGTTTTCCAGAATAATCTAATGAATGATTCCAGATCCAAGCCTCCAGCAGTCCACGCCATATTTGGCACCTGCAGTTGCCAGGAAATTATAAACTTCCTGGTTGATGTCCTTGGCCTGGCGCAGGTCTTTCTCGCCTCCGAGCTGGGCCTCTTTCAGATGGTCACAGTGGATGGTGGACGGCATGGCCACCTTGGGCAGCCCACTGCTGATGAACTGCAGCATGGCCACGTGGTCCGGCCACAGCCACAGGTGTCTTGCCCTGCTCGATTTCCTGGCTGGCCGGGTCATCCAGGTGTCCATACACGATCTTCTCCAAGAGGGTCAGAGGCCAGTTCAGTCGTTTGCAAACAATGTTAATGTTCTTCTCTAGCAGGTCATAGTGGATGTACTCATTGGGCTCAAAGTGGCTCATCGCCATCTTGGCCCGTTGGCACAGGACTGAGGCCACATGGTATTGCCGCACACCCAGAGCTTTCTGCAGCCGGGTCACCAGTGGGCTGTAGGGAGCCATTTTGTGCACTGACAAAGATGAGGTCGTGTGAATCTACCTCTTTATCAGCGATGTCAATCTCTCCGGTTGGCTGCTCCAAGACGCCATCCCTAACCCCGTCTGGTTAGGGATGAGATGAGACGCCTCTTCTCACTGTTGTCACATCAGCCTGAGCAACCTCATCACACGGACTCTCTGTCGCTTGCTCATCGCCCACCAGACATCCAGGACCTCTGTGTGGCTGGCAGATGAGTGAGCATGAAGTGTGCGGATCTGGGAAGCCTCTGGGCTCCGGCACCAGACACACCTGGCATGATTCCTGCCTCCTCCGGTTGCTGGCTGGAAACCCTTTCACCAGACGCCTAGGTTGCTTAAGGTTCATTTTCCTCATCCGCAAAGTGAACATCCTGTTACTCATCTTGCAGGGATGATGGAAATACTGAATTATATCTACAAATAATTGCATATATTAACAATGTCAGCCACATAGTAAATTTTCATTCCTTGCATATATCGCCACCTAGTGGACATCTTTAACCAATAAGATTAAATCCGCTTGGACATTCCAGGCACGATTTCACACTCCTCCTTTCCATCCTGCCATCCTCAGCAACTCGCTGGATACACCTGGACTGGTGCTGTCCGGCCTGCAGGCCGCCAGCCCCATGTGGCTGCTGACCACTTCAGCTGTGGCTAGTTGGAATGGAGACGCGCCCTCAGTGTAAAAGGCATACTGGGTTTTGAAGACTTAGTAGGTGCAAAAGAATGTAAAATACTCCAACAATTTTTTTTTTTTTCTGAAATGGACTTTCACTCTTGTTGCCCAGGCTGGAGTGCAATGGCGCAATCCCGGCTCACCACAACCTCTGTCTCCCAGGTTCAAGCGATTCTCCTGCCTCAGCCTCCTGAGCAGCTGGGATTACAGGCATGCACCACCACGACCAGCTAATTTTGCATTTTTAGGGGAGATGGGGTTTCTCCATGTTGGTCGGGCTGGTCTTGAACTCCTGACCTCAGGTGATCCACCCGCCTCGGCCTCCCAAAGTGTTGGGATTACAGGCGTGAGCCACCGTGCCCAGCCCTCAACAATCATTTAAAATATTGATTATGTTATTATAATTATTGTCATATTTCTTTTTACCTTTTTAAATGAGGCTGCTAATGGCCAGATGCAGTGGTTCATGCCTGTAATCCCAGCACTTTGGGAGCCGAGGCGGGGTGATTACCTGAGGTCAGGAGTTCGAGACCTGCCTGGCCAACATGGCAACACTCTGTCTCTACTAAAAATACAAAAATTAGCAGGGCATGGTGGTGCACACTTGTCATTCCAGCTACTTGGGAGGCTCAGGCAGGAGAATCGCTTGGGTGCAAGAGGCGGAGATTGCAGTGAGCTGAGATCGGCTGAGATCGTGCTGCTGCACTCCAGCTTGGGCGACAGAGCAAAACTCCGTCTCAAAAAAAAAGAAAAAAAGAAGCTGCTAAAAACTTTAAATTGCATATATGGCTCAGCTTTGGGGCCTGCATCATATTTCTATTGGACAGTGAGTGCTATTCTACTCTCAAAAAAGAATCTGGAGGCTTGTGTCAATTCATTCACTAAGTGTGTGTGTATGTAGGCGGGTGTTTCAACCCTCATGATTGACACTTTTCGAAGAGGCCACAGATAAGGAGCCAAACTATACCCAGAGATGTTCCAAGCTGGATAACTGTGTGTCACAGAGAGGCTTCAACAAAAACAGGAGTCAAAGTCACTTGTTCTGATGTTTCACCCTGCCTCTCTGGACTTTCCCTGTGTGCAGCCCAACACTTCACATCTTGGAAGGTGGCTTAGGCTTCTTTCGCAATCTCTAGCCCCAAATCCATTTGCTCATGTGCAATCTAGCAGTCAAGTATCTGGTGCTGTTTTGGTTTTGTTTTGTTTTTTGTTTTTGAGACAGAGTCTCACTCTGTTGCCCAGGCTGAAGTGCAGTGGCATGATCTCGGCTCACTGCAACCTCCGCCTCCCAGGCTCAAGTGATTCTCATGCCTCAGCCTCCCGAGTAGCTGGGATTATAGGCATGTGCCACCACACATGGCTAATTTTTGTATTTTTTAGTAGAAATAGGGTTTTACCATGTTGGCCAGGTTGGTCTCGAACTCCTGGCCTCAAGTGATCTGCCCCCCCTCGGCTTCCCAAAGTGCTGGGATTACAGGCATGAGCCACTGTACCCAGCCTCATGCTGTTTTTGTTTGCTTTGAGACAGGATCTCACTCTGTTGCCCAGGCTGGAGTGCAGTGCCATGATCATAGCTCACTGCAGCTTCGAACTTCTGGGCTCAAGCAATCTTTCCGCCTCATAAGTAGCTGAAATTACAGCCATGTACCACCATGCCCGACTAATTTATTTTTAACACAGATAGGGTCTCACTGTGTTGCCCAGTCTGGTCTTGAACTCCTGGACTCAAGTAATCCTCCTGCCTTTGTCCCCCAAACAGCTGGAATTACAGGGATGAGCCCAGCACACCAGCCCAGCCTGTGCTGTTGAGGTGGAAAGGGCTTCAGATTTTCCAAGATGCTTTCAACAAGAAGCAGTCATCATGCAAGCTGGGAAAACATCCACCTGGCAGATGTAAACGCTGAGGTCCAGAAAGCAAAGGCTGGTGTATTCGATCATATACTATACGTGGATGAAAAACGTTTCAGTCTACCTCAAATTTAAAAAGCAATTTTCTGATTCTGGGAATCATGGCTTGGAGGCATTGTGATTCACCCTTGCAAATTTCTGAGAAATTAGTCGGTAGAGAGCAGAAAGCAAACGTGAGAAGATATAATTAAAGAGGCCAGATAGGGATAAAGGGCTTATTTACATCAAGAGTCTTTCAAAGAAAAGAGAAACCAAGCAGTCAGTTGAATGTTAAAAAAAAAAAAAAAAATTAGAAACAAGGCAAAGACAAATGACCATACCAGAGGAAGCAGATACATCAAAAAGTCAGAAAGATAATGAAAGATGAGAATCTCATTGTAGAGTATACAGGTTTAGATTAATTATCAAAAGCTCCGCACACACATTTGGAGAGAAAAAAGAGAATGCAAATTCAGAGAAAACTCAAAGTCCTCAGTTATTTCCTTCCCATCTCCCTCAGCCTCAGTTTCCCCATCTTATGAAACCAGATGACCTGTAAGGCTCCTTTCATATCCATATTTGTAATTCTACAAAATAAATAGCTGCATGAAGATCTTTTACTTCTCAGTTTTTATCTCCAAAATTTCGTAGCCAATTTTTGTAGAGAAAATAAAAATTACATATGAGCAAGAAAGGCTAATTAAAATAATCTTACCACCTAGAGATAGCCACTGTGAATATCTTTATGTATATTCTTCCCTATTCATATAGGCATACATAGAAATAATTTTGTATAAATTTTATTATGGCCTTTTTTTTTTTTTTTGAGATGGAGTCTCGCTCTGTCGCCCAGGCTGGAGTGCAGTAGCGCCATCTCGGGTCACTGCAGGCTCCGCCCCCCGGGTTCACGCCATTCTCCTGCCTCAGCCAAATATTGCAAGGATGTTTTCTTGTCTTGGTTTCCTTTCCACACCATTGTCTGTGACCGCTGCCAGGTATTTTAGTCTAATGAAAGTATCGGTATAATATTAGTTGCAGTGAAAATGTGTGTCCAGATTGGAAAAGATGAAGAAAGCTGAGAAAAACAACATTTTTCCTTGCATGATGCCTTCTACTTTACAAAAGACTTGTATAAAAGCTTTGTATGGGAGGCCGAGGCGGGCGGGTCACGAGGTCAGGAGATCGAGACCACGGTGAAACCCCGTCTCTACTAAAAATGCAAAAAAAATTAGCCGGGCGTGGTGGTGGGCGCCCGTAGTCCCAGCTAGCTACTCGGGAGGCTGACGCAGGAGAATGGCATGAACCCAGGAGGCGGAGCTTGCAGTGAGCCGAGATTGCGCCAGTGCACTCCACCCAGCCTGGGTGACAGAGCAAGACTCCATCTCAAAAAAAAAAAACCAAAAAAAAAAAACAACTTTGTAATCAGCCGGGTGCAGTGGCTCACACCTGTAATCCCAGCACTTTGCGAGGCCCAGGCAGGCGGATCATTTGAGGTCAGGAGTTGGAGACCAGCCTGGCCAACACGGCGAAACCCCATCTCTACTAAAACTACAAAAATTAGCTGGGTGTGGTGATGCATGCCTGTAGTCCCAGCTACTTGGGAGGCTGAGGCAGGAGAATCACTTGAACCCTGGAGACAGAGGTTGCAGTGAGCCAAGATCACGCCTCTGCATTCCAGCCTGGGCGACAGAGTGAGACTCCATCTCAAAAAAAAAAAAAAAAAAAAAAAAAGCTTTGTAATCTACAAAGTGTTTTTACATCTTCTCTTAAGACTGCCCAACTAGCAGCGTCTAGCATATGGGTAGTGTCAATAAGTGTTATTAAATAAATGGGAAATCAAACAAATATGCATTATCATATGTATCCTTATGAAACTGGGATTTGGTAGGCCTCATTCTCATAATTTTATGAATGTTTTAAAGCTGCATCTATTACCTTGATAAAATCCATTATAATTTACATAGTATCCACACAGACCGATCTCATTTAAGCCTCCCAGCCACTCTGTAACTAACTAGGGTAGATAGCATCAGTCTCATTAAAGAGAGGCAGAGGCTGAGGTGGAGATAATCAGGGTCAGATAGTCAATCAGCGGAAGAGCTTGACCTTAGACTCAAACCCATGACACTTTCAACTGCTTCCCGACTGTGACCAAATGTCCCGCCCCACCTTTATTTAAGCAGTTTGTGCTATAGTGAGGCAGAGTCACCAGCATGCAGGTAAATGTTTAAAGTTCAGCTCTGGGGGAGTGGAGGGAGCCCTGATTTGTGGAGTTCGCTGATTTCTCTGGTGTGAATACTGCCACATGGCGGATTTGAAACTACTGACACAACGTCATGGTGTCATTGTGTAGAGACGTGCACAATCAGCTCAAAGGTGCTAGCTGGCTCCAACGCATCCCTGGGTGGAATGAACTTTCTTTCCACCTGATCGTTAATTCCTGGAGGCCAGGAACCACATCTCTTTGCAGTTTTCACTGTGCTATGCACACAGACGGCAGTGCATCAGCGTTCGGGCTCAACATCAGGGTTCAGCCTGGGTTTCCCATTCTCTGGTTTCCTCACCTGCCAGCCCTCTTCCCCTGGACCTGGGGAAGTACTTGGAGACAATCCTGCCCCCTTTACCATTTCCCTTTCCTTCCTCTCCATTCATGTCCCGGTCACAGCCTGAGGCAGAGTCATGGGCCCAGTGCAAGAAGAAAGGCCATGGGAACCTTAGGATCTCGTGGGGTTTTGTTTGTTTGGCTTTTTGTTTGTTTGTTTGTTGAGACAGGGTCTTACTCTATTGCCCAGGCTGGAATGCAGTGGCATAATCACAGCTCACTGCAGCTTTGACCTCTACGGCTCAAGCACACCACTATGTCTGGCTAATTTTTTTAATTTAAAATTTTGTTCTAGAGACAAGGCCTCGCCATGTTGCCCAGGCTGTTGGATCTCATGCTTTGTGGTGTTTTTTGTTTGTTTGTTTTTGAGATGGAGGCTCGCTCTGTCGCCCAGGCTGGAGTGATCCAGCAAGCTCACTGCAAGCTCCACCTCCCGGGTTCAGGCCATTCTCCTGCCTCAGCCTCCCGAGTAGCTGGGACTACAGGCGCCTGCAACCACGCCCGGCTAATTTTTTGTATTTTTAGTAGAGACGAGGTTTCACCGTGTTAGCCAGGACGATCTCGATCTCCTGACCTCGTGATCAGCCCGCCTCGGCCTCCCAAAGTGTTGGAATTACAGGCGTGAGCCACCGCGCCAGGCCGCTTTGTGGTCTTTTAAGACCAAGCTTAGAGTCTTCTTCCTGTCCTGGAGTTCCGGCACTCACCTTCTCAAGAAGCTTGGGCAGCTGCTTCCATGGGGGCCAGTGGGAGGAAGAGAGGGAGCAGATGGGAGACGGCTCTGACCCTCAGTACCGCAGGGCCGTTGCTTCAAAACTGAACTGGCACAAAACCCATCAACTGTTTGGAAACCAGGATTCCTGGCTTCTGGTTTTACTGCCCAGGGCTACAACTCTTGGGGCTATTTTTCTTGCCAGACATCTTACTGGGATTTTCTGCTGTGGAGAGCACCTCGTGCTGGTCTGCGCTGATAAAGAAATGTCATTTTCTGGAGGGTTGGTTGATGTGCGGATCTTGAAACAACGAAGAGCGCGCAGGGAGGCGGAGAAAAGACAGACTTTGGCGCCATCTACTGGAAACTTCTGTTTCTGCATGATGTGGATGAATTGGATAAAACTGACAAAATGGAAATTGTATGTATATTCTGTTCTTTGATACATGATTGATGTCGAAAATCTCTTATAAGAAGAAATATAGAAAACATATATTTAATGAATCATGAGTTAAATTCTAACTTCTCCTCTACTAAAACTTCTATCAAATCTGCTGTCAGGCAAAAATGGTTGAATTTTCATTCTACTCCAACCCACCCTCCCTTACAAATACTGTGCTAATATTCAGCAACATAGCAAGGACTAGAGAAGGGACAACAGCCAAAACAAAGGCTGCGCAAGTCCACTGGCCTGAAAATCAAGTCCAGAGAAAAGGGAAAGTGATTCTACCTGCAAACCAACCCAGCCCCTTGTCTGAGGAGGGGGTGGACAGGTACCTCCAGCAACTTCTAAAATCAAGTGACCACAGCAAAACGGAAACAAGAAAAGATGCACCAGCTGCAGTCACCGCCGAGCCCCTGCTTAGCGGCAGCTTTGCTGGAGAGTGTCTCCCTTTTGTGGGGTGGGGCCAGAGCCTCAGACACCTGGTGTTGGGGGCAGATGCCTTCCCTCATTCCAGCTTCACCTTCGGAGGCTGATCTACAAAGGCCAAGCCCCAGGCCGCTGGGCTTCATTTCCACACCAAAGAGCAGAGTCAGCCATGCCTCAGGCTGCTTTCTCTCTGCCACGTTTAAGTTTTAGTTCATTCAAATCCATCTTCAGCAACTTAATTGCCGTACAGTATTTCAGCACACTGAAAAATAACCTTTTCTCACACCGAAAGCACTAGACCTGTTTTTTCAGTGCTGTGATTTGTTGTCTGATATCATTCAGAGCTTTTCAAAAGCTGCCGCCGCTATCATCTTGCAACGGCCTGTGAAGTGGGTGGGAAGGTGCTGCTCCTAGTGCCAAGAGGGGAAACTGAGGCCCCTAGAAGGCTGAGCGCGTCCCGTCACCGCGCACGGCCCCTCCAGTGCCTCAGCCAGGTTCTCAGCCTCTCTGTGATGACTTGCAGACCAGGGAGGTTGACCTCATGTGGAGTTCCGGGTGGGGCCACCCTCACCAAAGCCTGCAGGGAGCTGCTGTCCCACCCACCCACCCCAGGCTGCCGGGGCAGGTGTTTCTGGGGCTGAAAGCAGAAATGTAGGGGAGAGAAAACACCCCCAAGGACTCTGTGGAGAACACTGAGCTGGGGGGTGGGTTGATACGAGTTCACCAGTTATATACATTTTAAACAGAGACGGGGCTTCGCTATGTTGACCAGGCTGGTCTCGAACTCCTGGGCTTAAGGAATCCTCGTATCTTGGCCTCCCAAAGTGCTGGGATTACAGGTGTGAGCCACCGTGCCCAGCCTTCACCAGCTATTTGTTGAGCACCTACTGTGTGCTGGTGGCTTCGGGAAGACAACGACAGACCGGACGCTGTGTTGTCCTCAGGAGACGTCCAGTTAGAAGGAGCAGAGACAATGGTACAAATAACTACCATGCAAGCAGGAAATGGCCACTGTGCAAGATGGGCTGTGCTAGAAGACCTCAGAGCAGGAGCGGCCCTTCCACAGGCGGGAGGGACAGGGGAGTGCTTGGGGGGCCTTTAATGGGCCTCCGAATGGGAGAGTAGGTGTGAAAATGGTTTGGGATCAGATAAATTCTGTGCCCACACACTCATGCACACTCATGCACACTCACACTCCCCACACTCACCCACGCATACACATACACCCACATAACACACATGCACAGCCACATTCACACACACAACACCCACATAACACTCTCACACACACTCAGACCCCACACACACACTCACATAGCACTCACACACACCACACACTCATGGACACTCACACTGACACAACACTCACCACACTCACCCACGCATACACATACACCCACATAACACTCACCCACATGCACATCCACATTCACGCACACAACACCCACAAACACCCACATAACACTCACACATACACTCACACCACACACACACCCACGTAACACTCACCCACATGCACATCCACATTCACACACGCAACACCCACAGACACCCACATAACACTCTCACACAAACACACTCACACCACACACATAGCACTCACACACTCATGCACACTCACACCCACATAACACAACACTCACCCACACTCACCCACGCGTACACATACTCACCCCCACATAACACTCACCCACATACACGGCCACCTTCACACATACAACACCCACAAACACACCTACATAACACACAAACACACACACCACACACTCACATAGCACTCACACACTCACACCCACACAACACTCCCATGTACCCACATGACACTCTGACACATATACTCACACACACCCACAGAATTACATTTACATACACATGCACACACGTACACATACACACAACACCCACACACACACATGCATACAAAGACACCATGTACACACACACATGCATACAGAGACACCCACATGACACTCAAATTCACACACACACATTCATGCACTCACCCACCTCCACATTCACACACACACTCATACTCACACTTGCACATACAGGAACAGAGGCACATCCTGAATCCCCCTCCACACCTCAGGCTTCCCAGGGCGGCCTCAGGGGCCCGGTCTCTAGCCCAAATGCCAGAAGGTGTTACTGGTGAGATCCGCTGAAGAGCAGGCCACGTGTGTACTGATGATGCTGAGACTGGCGAAGGTTTTCTCTGAAGCAAGATGAAAGAGGAGCGTTCCTTCCCACCTTGCCATCTTCTAGACTTGATTTCAGCCTTGCCGGGCCCAGGGCTGTGGGAAGCGCGGGGCCGCGCGGTGTCGCTGGCTTGGGCCAATGTGGCTGCTTTGCCAGGTTTCTAGAACCAAAAATGTTGGGGTGAATTACGGGCCTGGGAGCTACTTCTGTGTTTTCTGGGGACTCCCAGCCCTCCCAGAGGTGGGACGGTGGTCACCAAAATTGTTCAGTGGTGGAGTGTTTTGGGTTTTGTTTTGTTTTTAGGGTGTGTGGCGGTCAAAGATGGAGCAGAGTGGTGCAAAAGGCTCAAGCTCTGGAATCAAACAGATCCCAGTCTCAGTCCAGCTCTCCACCAGCTCTGCCCCCTCGAGCCAGCTCTCTGCACCCCACTTCCTCATCCATAAAATGCTGTTGATAATAGTACCTGCCTCATGTAGTAGGTGTATCAAAGGAAACTGCTGGGGATTCGTATGCTGTCTAGCACACTGGATGTACTCAATGCATATGAGCAATACTATTACTATCGTTAGGCACGAGGGAAAGAGGGAAGGAAGTCGAAGAAGACTCGGGTTTTAGACAGAGCGAGTCGGGGAAAGGTGGTGTCTTGGGCTGGATGAGGAACCCAGGCGTGCAAGTGCATTTGGGAAACCTGTGAATTCCAGTTTTGGAAGTGCTGAATTTAGGATGCCTGGGGGACATGGATGGAAGCGGCCACTGCATGTTGAGAAGAGAGACTGGGCTGGAGTTGGAGATGGGGGATTCACAGCACATAAGGGGAGGTCTGGGCCAGCAGAGGACAGGAGGTCATTTGGAAAGGGAGCTTCCAATAGGAAGAAGACAGAACCCAGAGGGCCCAGCATGCAGAGGTGGTGGGAAGAAGGAAGCCCACAGGGGTGCGGGGGATTGTTGCAGATGGAGGAGGGAGGCCATCAGAAGGGACCCTGCCGAGGGAGAGGAGACCTCAGCCAGCACCCACTGGGTGCCTCACTTCTACTGAGCAGCCTACAAAGATAGGTGAGACCCTGGCGTGGCTCTGAAGAAACTGACAGACTCTAGGAGCTCCTGCAATTCTGTTTAATTGCTTCTTTTCTTTCTTCTCTCTTCCTTATGAACAAAGACTCTTCAGTCTTTGCTTATAAGGTAGAGCCTGTGGGAGCTCAGAGGCTCAGCCCTCTGTGTAGGGGGCAGGTCTGCTGAATGCATTACGTGGGTGGGCTGGCCAGACCAGATGTCCCGAGTTGCCTTCCAGATCCACGGAGCTTCCCCCGGGGCATCATGGCACACCGCCCCAGACAGTCGGTAGTTTGAGAAGAGAGTTAAATGCTCTGTTCGGGAAGGAAGGAAGTGTTGGAGGTCTCTAGGAATGCTATGCAGCTATATTACCATCTTTGGGATAGCAAAAGTTACATGCATTTCAAATTAATTTTAAAGCATGTCTAGCTTTGCAACAAAGCCACACATGTCTAGGGCAGGCAAGAAGCTAGATTTATGCAAATCGAATGATTAAATGTAAACACGTGTTAGAGGGAGCCTGATGGCTGGGCTCGGTGGCTCATGCCTGTAATCCCAGCACTTTAGGAGGCCAAGGCGGGTGGATCACCAGAGGTCAGGAGTTCAAGACCAGCCTGTCCAACATGATGAAACCCTGTCTCTACTGAAAATACAAAAACATTAGCCGGGCATGGTGGTGTGCACCTGTATTCCCAGCTACTTGAGAGGCTGAGGCACGAGAATCACTTGAAAGCAGGAAGTAGAAGCTGCAGTGAGCTGAGATAGTGCCACTGCACTCCAGCCTGGACAATAGAGTGAGACTCTGTCTCAAAAAAAAAAAAAAAAAAAAGCCTGATGATGAATGGGGTTGATGTGCTCAATATTTGCTCACATGGCTCAGCTGGTTAGTGTGGAGCTGCACCTCATCCACCCTACTGCCTGTCAAATTCTGCTCCCATTGTGATGAAAGACAGCCCCAATGCAAATATGTAAAAGATGCTCTCTATATACCCACTTTCTCTAGTAGGGCAACTCTGTCCAACTTCTTGCCCATATTCTGATAAGAGTGCACAGATTGTGAGCACAATTTGAACAGTGACTTTTAGCACTGTGCAAGGAAATCTTGAAATGCCAGTAACATCCAGGTTAGTTAATTTATAGGTACATAATGATGAAGAGGAAGATAGTACAAGAACAAAACACAGGTCTCTTGTGCTTAATGGGCCAGGAGTTGTTTTAAGTACTTTACGTGCAATAACTTGATCCTTACAACAACCATCACAAATGAGGAAACTGAGGCAGAGGTTAGGTAACTTGCCCAAGATTGCACAGTGAATAAGTGGGGGAGGCAGGATTTGAACCCAGGCAGGCTGCCTGCCTCAGAGTCCTTTTCTTTAGATACTATGGTAGCCACATCTCTGCATGATCTCATGTGACTTGATTAGCTTAACACAGCTTTTTCAAAAACTAAAATTTCTTTATCCTCTCCCTATTCCTAGTTTCTCCTTCCTTTCTTCCTTCCTTCCTTCCCTTCCCTCCTTCCCTTCCTTTCCTTCCTTCCCTTCCTTTCCTTCCTTCCTTCCTTCCCTTCCCTTCCTTCCTTCCCTTCCTTTCCTTCCTTCCCTTCCCTTCTTTTCCCTTCCCTTCCTTTCTTCCTTTCCCTTCCTTCCTTCCCTTCCTTTCCTTCCTTCCCTTCCCTTCCCTTCCCTTCCCTTCCCTTCTTTTCCCCTTCCCTTCCTTTCTTCCTTTCTGATGGAGTCTCATTCTTTCGCCCAGGCTGGAGTGCAGTGGCACAATCTTGACTCACTGCAGCCTCCGCCTCCCAGGTTCAAGAGATTCTCCTGCCTCAGCCTCCCAAGTAGTTGGGATTACATGTGCACACCATCACACCCAGCTAATTTTTGTATTTTTAGTAGACATGGTGGGGAGGTTTCGCCATGTTGGCCAGGCTGGACTCGAACTCCTGACCTCAAGTGATACACTTGCCTCAGCCTCCCAAAGTGCTGGGATTACAAGTGTGAGCCACCGCGCCTGGCCCTATTTTCATTTCTTTCTAATAGTTAGTGCTCTCTCTATCTCCTGCACTTGCTAATTCACATATATTCTCCCTTCAAATCTGCCTTGACAGCCTTCTGTTTTCAAGGGCCTCACAGCTACCTGGTTCCTTCTCTCAAAAGTTCCCTCTTCTGCAGGTAACTTCTCACTCACTTCCCTTGGACCACCCCTCTGTCTCTGTTAGTGTGAGGTGGGTTGTGTCCAGGGCCATCCACCAGAGGAAAGGGGAGAGAAGCCATACTTCTTGGGTCCAACGGGAGTCAAGGAGATCAAGGACCAGGTGTTGAGACCCGTATTTTGGTTTGGGAGGCTACAGGCAAGGTAGAAATGGAAGGCTGTTCTTGGCCGGGCACAATGGCTCACGCCTGTAATCCCAGCACTTTGGGAGGCTGAGGCAGGTGGATCACCGGTGAATTCCACAGACACTTAAAAGCAAAAATAATAATTTGTTGAATACAGTGAGTTCTAAATTTCTCTTCAAAGAATCAGTATGTCAGTATGTTCAGTTCTTTGTTCTCCATTTTAAAGTTGAACTTCCTCGTTCTCCTCAGCCCTAGTTTCACTAAACAACCTTTTCCAACAGTTCTAATCAGTAGTTAACGTCTATTCCCCTGGTCACCTGCTCCATTCTGAGTCACCCCTGGTCACCTGCTCCATTCTGAGTCACCCCTGGTCGCCTGCTCCATTCTGAGTCACCCCTGGCCACCTGCTCCATTCTGAGTCACCCCTGGCCACCTGCTCCATTCTGAGTCACCCCTGGCCGCCTGCTCCATTCTGAGTCACCCCTGGCCGCCTGCTCCATTCTGAGTCACCCCTGGCCGCCTGCTCCATTCTGAGTCACCCCTGGCCGCCTGCTCCATTCTGAGTCACCCCTGGCCACCTGCTCCATTCTGAGTCACCCCTGGTCACCTGCTCTGACCTGAATCATCCTGAGTCACCTGTTCTGTAACCACCCTTCCCACCAAACTACTCACCCCGCCACTCTGGCTCATACCCCTGCTCTCTTTAAAGTAGCCAATCGGAATTAGCTTAGACTGTGCAGTCCAACCCTAGCCAATACGGGAACGACGCATCAGTAGGGGCTACCTGTGTCAGGAATCAGAACCCCTTCCCCTCCCTTGTTCAGGTGTGCTCTGGCCATTGCTCCATCTGCGAGTCGCACCCTTCTAGAGAAGTAAAATTGCCTTGCTGAGAAAATTAAACTTATGTTTGAGTGCTATTTCTTTTGCAGCACCAAAAATTTATTTACAACAAATTCTACACAAATTTTTCCAGAAACTGGAAATGGAGAGCTTATGTTACCCAATTTTAAGATTTACTAGAAAGATACAATAGACGTGACAGGGTGGTATTGGTAGAAGAATAGACACGAAGATCAATGGAACAGAATAAAAAGTTGAGAAACAGCTACATGGTCAATTAATTTTTGATGACGACCAACATAATTCAACATGGAAAGATGGTCTTTTTTGAAAAAGAAACATTGCTGCTTTGTGGATGAAGTGGATGTTCATACACAAAAATATCCTTAACTTTTACTTCACATCATAAAAATGTTTAACTCAGAAAGGGTCTCAGACCTAAATGTAAGAACTAAAACTATAATATTTTTAAAACAGAGGTCATCTTACTTTTTCTTAAAGGGCGAGGTAGCAGATGTTTAGGCTTATGGGCCATGTGGTCTCTGTCATGACTACTTAACTCTGTCATAGCACAAAAGCAGCCATAAACATTACAAAAATGAAGAGTATGGCCATAATCCAGTAAAACCTTATTTAGAAAAACAAGCCACTGGCCCACAGGCCGTAGCTTGGTGACCTCTGTTCTAGAAGAAAACATGTAGAAAATCTTTGCGAGGTTGGGTTAGGCAAAGATTTCTCAGAAGTGAGTTTTAATTGTATTTGAGATTTGTTTTAATTGGGTATGGTAAGACATGCAGATATGAAAATAATTGGTATAAAGGAAAAGGTTTTTGTTATACTCAGTCCCTAGAGACAGGAGGCATGGCACTCCATGCAGGGCCACAGGGAGAAGTACTCAGGTAAGACAGCAGGCTGGGGTGATGGGACCTGGGGGCAGGAGCCTTTATCATGGTTTTCATGGGAAGAAATAGATGATGCAATATAAGCAGGCTAGTCAGGGTTAGTATTGGGCAGTTTGAACAATTTGGTGGCTCTGGGTCACAGGGACTGTCCCTAGTTGTCTGGTACCAGGTTCTGGGGTGACTAGGGCAGGTAGATAGTGGCCCAGAGTGTGGGAACCCACTAAGGGAAGTGGCTGGGGGTGTGAGCTCTGGATTGATTGGTTTGCATATGGAAGGCATGCTTGCAGGCATGTCCTTTGCTATCTCTGGGAATTAGCTTACCCCGCCTGGGAGGGGCAGCCCCTCTTGGCTCAGCAAGGTCTCAGATGTCAGAGCATCAACAATATCAAAAATAAGAAAATGTAGTTAATACAAATGACTCTAAAAGCACAATTCATAAAAAGCAATCAATAAATGGGTCATCATCAAAATTTAAAACTTTTGCTCTTCAAAGTACACTGTTGGCTGGGCACAGTGGCTCATGCCTGTAATTCCAGCACTTTGGGAGGCTGAGGCAGGAGGATCATTTGAGCCCAGGAGTTCGAGCCAGCCTGGGCAGTATAGCAAGACCCCAATCTCTACAGAAAAAAAATAGCTGGGCAAGATAGCATGTGCCTGTAGTTCTAGCTCCTTGGGAGGCTGAGGTGGGAGGATGGCTTGAGCCCAGGAATTTGAGGCTGCTGTGAGCTATGATCATGCCACTGCACTCCAGCCTGCCTGGGCAACAGGGTGAGACCTTGTTTCAAAATAAAAGTACACTGTTAAGAAAAGAAAAAAGCAAGCCATAGAATGGGAGAAAATATTTGCAAAATATGTATCTGTTAAAGGAGTTGCACTCTGAATACATGAAGAACTATTACAACTCGGTAATAAGAAGCCAAACAAACTAATTTTAAAAAATTTAAAACACTTTAAGTGTTGGGGAGGAGGTGAAATATTTGAATAGACATTTCACCAAAGAAAATATACAAATGGCTAAGGAAATCAACATCATTCATCATTAAGAAAATACAAATCATGGCCGGGCATGGTGGCTCACACCTATAATCCCAGCACTTTGGGAAGCTGAGGCAGGCAGATCACCTGAGGTCAGGAGTTCGAGATCAGCCTGGCCAAAATGGAGAAACCCCGTCTCTGCCAAAAATTAGCTGGGCATGGTGGTACGCACCTGTAATCCCAGCTACTTGGCAGGATGAGACAAGAGAATTGTTTGAACCCGGGAGGCGGAGGTTGCAGTGAGCCAAGATAGTGCCACTGCACTCCAGCCTGGGTGACACACAGCGAGACTTCGTCTCAAAAAAAGAAAAAAGAAAGAAAGGAAAAAGAAAATCAGGTTGCATGCAGTGGCTCATGCCTGTAATCCTAGCACTTTGAGAGACCAAGGTGGGAGGAAAGCTTGAGTCCAGGAGTTCAAGACTAGCCTGGGCAACATAATGAGACCTTGTCTCTACTAAAACAAACAAACAAACAAAAATCAAAGAAATTAGCTGGGCATGGTGGTGTGCACACATCTGTAGTCCCAACTGCATGGTACGCTGAGGTGGGAGGATAGCTTGAGCCCAGGAGGCTTAGGCATCAGTGAGCTGTGATCACACCACTGCACTCTAGACTGGGAGACAGAAAAAGACCCTGTCTCAAAAAAAAAAAAAAAAAAAAAAAGAGAGAAAAAAGAAAAAGAAAATGCAATTTGAAATCACAATGAAATATGTCTACATATCCACTAAAATGGCGAAAATGAAAAAGACTGATCATGTTGGCAAGGATGTGGAGCCACTGGAACTCCCATAGATAGCTGTTGGGAATGCACAATGATATACTCACTTTGGAAAACAGTTTGGCAATTTCTCATATATTTCAATATACACCACCTATATAGCCCAGCCATCCTACACCTAAATGTTTACCCAAGAGAAATGAAAACATGTATTCACATAAACTTGTACAGGAACATTCATAGCAGCTTTATTTGTGATAGGTAAAAACTGGAAATAACCCAAATGTCCATCAACTTGTGAATGAAACAAGTCATAAAATGCTCATCAGCAAATAAAAACAAGAATGAAGTACACATACACGTAACAACATGGGTGAATCTGTCAGACACAGAAGATCACATACTGTAAGACTCCATTCATATGAAATTCTAGAAACAAAATGATAGCCACAGAAAGTGGATCCGCGGCTGGCAGGGCTGGGATGGAAAAAAGGGATTGGCTGTAAATGAGGGATCTTTTAGGGGTGATGAAAATGTTTCATATCATGATTCTAGTGCTGGCTACAAAGCTGTCCACATTTGTTAAAATGTAGCAAATTACATACTAAAGTTTGGCAAATTTTATTGTATGTAAATTGTACCTCCATAAAGCTGATTTAAGAAAAGAATGAAGGCTGGGCATGGTGGCTCATGCCTGTAATCCCAGCACTTTGGGAGGCCAAGGCGGGTGGATCATCTGAGGTCAAGAGTTTGAGACCAGCCTGGTCAAAATGGTGAAACCCCGTCTCTACTAAAAATACAAAAAATTAGCTGGGCATGGTGGCTCAGCCTGTAGTCCCAGCTACTCGGGAGGCTGAGGCAGGAGAATCGCTTGAATCCAGGAGGCGGAGGTTGCAATGACCCGAGTTGGCACCATTGCACTCCAGAATGGGCAACAGAACAAGACTTCGTCTCAAAAAAAAAAAAAAAAAGAACGAAAAGGAAAGCCTTATCAGCTCTGTGAACTGGACAGATCATGTAACTGTTCCATGTCTGTATTTCCACACTTATAAGGATAATAATACCTAGCTCTCAACAAGTGTCAAGTTTCTGTCGCCTTTCCTTTTTTTTTTTCCAGGATGTTAGTCTGAGTCAGCTATAAATCAAGATTGTCATTGATGGGTGGGGATTGGTGACCTCTCCCCCGAGGTCTTCAGATGGGAATCATGTCTCTAAAGGGGCGATCTCTAGATGTGAAGACTCACATATGTGTCAAAATGTTAAATGTGCAAACTCTTTCTGCTTCTGTAAGCCTATGTGATAGAAAGGCTGGCAAAAAAAAATGTGCAAAAAATATGTAGAAGGATGTACATTGCTGCTTTGGCTGGGCACGGTGGCTCATGCTTGTAATCCCAGCACTTTGGGAGGCCGAGGTGGGCAGATCACCTGAGGTCAGGAGTTCAAGACCAGCCTAGCCAATATGGTAAAACCCTGTCTCTACCAAAAATGCAAAAATTAGCCAGGTGTGGTGGTGTGCACCTGTAGTCCCAGCTACTCAGGAGGCTGAGGCAGGAGAATCACTTGAACCCAGGAGATGGAGGTTGCAGTGAGCTGAGATCATGCCACTGTGCTCCAGCCTGGGCAACAGAATGAGACTCTGATTCAAAAAAAAAAAAAAAGTACATTGCTGCTTTGTTTGTAATAGCAAAACTTGGAGACAACCTCAGTGTCCATCCATCAGTAAGACTTGGCTAAGTGAATTAAGAGATTTCCATTTCCTGGCCAGGCACAGTGGCTCACGCCTGTAATCCCAACACTTTGGGAGGCTGAGGCGGGTGGATCATCTGAGGTCAGGAGTTCGAGATCAGCCTGGCCAACATGGCAACCCCCTGTCTCTATTAAAAATACGAAAATTAGCCGGGCGTGGTGGCACATGCCTGTAATCCCAGCTACTAGAGAGGCTGAGGCTGGAGAATTGCTTGCACCCCATAGGCGGATGTTGAGTGAGCCAAGATTGTACCACTGCACTCCAGCCTGGGTGACAGAGTTAGACTCCATCTCGAAAAAAAAAAAAAAAAAGAGAGATTTCCATTTCCTGGAATACAAGAGAGCTGATGGATGACATAAACCAGATCTGTGTACAGGAACTTAGGGAACGGCACCCAATACACTGCTCGATGAGAAACCCATATGTACAGCAGCACATACAAAATAATCCCACTAAAGAAAAAGAGTGTGTGGCAGAGACCGCCAGCTATTCCCCAGTATCCTTTCTTTCATTTAGTAGAAGAAATCTGGCCCCTCCAGCCCCATTTTAAGTGGTTGGCTTGGGTGGGTGTCAAGGCTCTAGGGCAGTGTGGCTGAATCCTACATGTAGGCGAGCAGTCGTCACCTCCCTTTTAGCCAGCTTTGGCAAAAGGTCTAAATTCTGGCCACAAGATGTGAGCGGAAGTGACATATGCAATGAAGGGGTCATATCCTTCAAAAGGAAGCTAGTTGTTGTTCACTTCCTCTCTCCCCTTTCTGCAGTGACACCCTGGAGATAATGCTTTGATGTAGACAAGGGCCCCGTGCTACAGGACGAATCTTCATGCAACAGAGCAACTGCCTGCCTTGTCCCACTCCTCTAACGGCTTCTAGAAAGAGAAATTAACTTTTATCTTGTTTGAGTTACTAGTCTGGGGACTGTTAACAGCTGCAAATCCCATATAGTAAGTAATACAATGTACTTTATAGTATTACCTTTGCTAATAATGATAGTTTACCGACATCTAGTGCTCATTATGTGCCAAGCACTGTTCTAGGCACTTTACATAAATAACTTGTTTAGCCAGGTGCGGTGGCTCACGCCTGTAATCCCAGCACTTTGGGAGGCCGAGGCAGGTGGATCACAAGGTCAGGAGATCGAGACCATCCTGGCTAACATGGTGAAACCCCGTCTCTACTAAAGACACAAAAAAATTAGCCGGGCATGGTGGCGGGCACCTGCAGTCCCAGCTACTCTGGAGGCTGAGGCAGGAGAATTGCTTGAACCTGGGAGGCGGAGGTTGCAGTGAGCTAAGATCACGCCACTGCACTCCAGCCTGGGCGACAGAGTGAGGCTCCGTCTCAAAAACAAAAACAAAAACAAAAAATGCTTCGCAGATGGGCCACACTAGCCAGTGGATGTCATGTTGCCCAAACAACCAGTTGAACACGTCTCATATTTCATCATTTGTTTTGTAATAATATATCTTCAGTGTAAACCCAGAAAGAGGGAAAAAAACCCTCAGCCAACCACTCCTCTCTTGAGAGGGTCTCAGGGACACAGCCTCTCTTAAATTTGTAAATATTTAGCACTCTAGTTCCTGGAAGAAGATAAGTACTTGTCTCTGCTAAACCTTCCTGTGGATGACAGCTCCATGGAGTATGTGTTCTGAGCCAAAACATACCATATTTGGTCCGAAATGAGTGGATTGCCGATCATTGTAGTTTCAGATCTTTTAACTGGAATGAAGGACATTTGGTCCATACAGTTAACATCCACAAGAATACAGGGACTCAGGGGTTTCTGCCCACTTCTGAACCTGCAAAGCTTCATGGTTGAGAAGGAAGACATGTGCATGACACGGGACTGTATTCCAGCCCTGAGCCCGCGTGGTTTTTTTTTTGGTTTTGGTGGGGTTTTTTTGTTTGTTTTGTTTTGTTTTTTGAGACGGAATCTCTGTCGACCAGGCTGGAGTTCAATGGTGCAATCTCAGTTCCCTGCAACCTCTGCCTCCCAGGTTCAAGCAATTCTCCTGCCTCAGCCTCCTGAGTAGCTGGGATTACAGGTGACTGCTACCATGCCTGGCTAATTGTGAGCTGGCATGTTTTAAGTGTAAAGGGGCAAAGGGTGCTTTGCACTTCAGCTAGACTACTTCAAGAAAATAAGATCTGAGCCAGGTGCAGTGGCTCATGCCTGTAATCCCAGCACTTTGGGAGGCTGAGGCAGGTGGATCACCTGAGGTCAGGAGTTCTAGGCCAGCCTGGCCAACATGGTGAAACCTCGTCTCTACTAAAAATACAAAAATTAGCCGGACGTGGTGGCAGGTGCCTGTAATCCCAGCTACTCAGGAGGCTGAGGCATAAGAATTGCTTGAACCTGGGAGGCGGAGGTTGCAGTGAGCCAAGATTGTGTCACTGCACTGCACTCCAGCCTGGGCGACAGAGCAAGACTCTGTCTCAGAAAATAATAATAATAATAATAATAATAATAATAATAAATAACATCTGATCTGAACAAGTTTTAAGTTAAACAAATTAAAAGAAAAGCCCACCCACAATACAATTATTCCCTTTTTTTTTTAAAGATGTGTTAGTACAAGTGTTATAATCATTGTTTTACTCATTTTTTTTTTTAAGATATGGTCACACTGTGTCACCCAGGCTGGAGTGCAGTGGTGCGACCAAGACTCACTGCAGCCTCGAATTCCCAGGCTTAGGAGATCCTCCCATCTCAGCCTCCCGAAATGATCTTTGTTTTAAACACATCTCTACAGAATTTATCTTTCAGGACCTGTCTGAACACTGAGATGAATGACTTGGTCCCCCCTGAAGTACTTGATGTGAACTGCACAGGGAAATTGTTTTGTTATCACTTGGCTCATGTATGAGTCATTTTCAAGAAGTAAACTTTGCTTTGAACAGGGTGGTTTCTGCTCAACAACAGTTCAGTTTGGTAAGCATTTCTTTTTTTTTTTTTTTTTTTGAGTTGGAGTTTCACTCTTGTCGCCCAGGCTGGAGTGCCAGTGGTGCGATCTCGGCTCACTGCAACCTCTGCCTCCTGGATTCAAGAGATTCTCCTGCCTCAGCCTCCTGAGTAGCTGGGATTACAGGCGCCGCCACCACGCCTGGCTAATGTCTTTGTATTTTTCGTAGAGATGGGGTTTCATCATGTTAGCCAGACTGGTCTCGAACTCCTGACCTTAGGAGATCCACCTGCCTCAGCCTCACAAAGTGCTGGGGTTACAGGCATGAGCCACCACGCCTGGCCTGGTAAGCATTTAATGAGCATCTACTATGTGCTTACTTTTGTGGGGGGACCTACAGTAAACAAGGAACTGGAGAAAGAATCAGATATTTTAAAATCAACACAATGACAAAGATAGAAAAGTGATACCCCCAACACTTTGGGAGGCCGAGGTGGGCAGATCACAAGGTCGGGAGATGGAGACCATCCTGGCTAACACGGTGAAACCCCGTCTCTACTAAAAATACAAAAACAAAATTAGCCGGGTGTGGTGGCGGGCGCCTGTAGTCCCAGCTACTCGGGAGGCTGAGGCAGGAGAATGGCGTGAACCCGGGAGGCGGAGCTTGCAGTGAGTGGAGATTGCGCCACTGCATTCCATCCTGGGCGACAGAGCGAAACTCCATCTCAAAAAAAAAAAAAAAAAAAAAAAGCCATACCATTTGCATCCCCCGGGTTTTCTGAGGGGCAGTGGCGTGGTGCACAAAGCTCAGGGCAGAAGCAGGGCTTCAGGACTCCATGATGGAAGCCCACTCCCCTCCAGCCACGGCCCGAGCAGCCAGGAGAGATGTTCGTTTGCCTGTTCCCAGCCCACCCTGAGTTCCCACCCAGGCTCTGGATGCCAGGACTCTAGACTCACTGCGTTCCACACTCTAGCTTCTGTGGTTACTATTGGCAATGGCGCACCAGGAGCACTGGGATTCCGGGCTGTGCACCAGGGTCTAGGTTGCAAAGACGCCTGAAACCAGAGGGGGAAAACAGAGAACAGTTCATCAAAATGATTAAAATTGCAAGGGATGGGGGGAAGGGAAAGTGATACCATGTCTATGGTCTGAATGTGTCCCCCCAAATCCATATGATGAAAATGTAATCCCCAATGCAATAATGTGGGGAAGTGGTTCCTAGCCGAGGTGTTTAAGCCATGAGGGCTCTGCCCTCATGAATGGATTAATGCCAACATAAAAAGGGCTTGTGGCCAGGTGTGGTGGCTCATGCCTGTAATCCTAGTACTCTGGGAGGCTGAGGCAGGTGGATCACTTGAGGCCAGGAGTTTGAGACACGCTTGGCCAACATGGCCAAACCCTGTCTCTACTAAAAGTACAAAAATTAGCCAGGCATGGTGGTGGGCACCTGTAATCCCAGCTAATCTGGAGGCTGAGGCAGGAGAATCACTTGCAGCGAGAGGCAGAGATGGCAGTAAGCTGAGATCATGCCACTGGACTCCAGCCTGGGCAATACAGTGAGACTCTGCTAAGAAAAAAAAAAAAAAAAAAAAGGAGGGGGGTGTTTGTGGGAGTGGGCTTTCTCTCTTCTGCTCTTCCACCATGTGAGGACAAAGCGTTCATCCTCTCTTGCCCTTCCACCTTCTGCCATGTGAGGACACAGCAAGAAGCCCCACACCAGATGCTGATGCCTTGACCTTGGACTTCCCAGCCTCCAGAATGGTGAAAAATACATTTCTGTTGTTTATACATTACCCAGTCTCGGGTATTCTGTTGTAGCAACACAAAACAGACTAAGACGCCATTCTAAGGCATGAGTGAGCAATTCTGTCTTCTTAGGTGCAGAAGAAAAACGAAACTCGACAGAGAAGGTAATAACTAAGCAGAGTTTTAAGAGTTGAGTAGGAGATTACATAAAGGCTAAGAGGAGGAGAAGGGCATCCAGGCAGAAGGGACTGACTGGGACAAGGAGGCACGAGACAACACAAGGCTCAGGAACCTGTGAGTGGGGCAGGAGTGTGAGGTGGGGAGTGAGGGGCTGGCAAGGGTCCCTCTCACCCCATTGGGAGCCCAGGATTGCTCCATGGGCCAGGGGCCCCTTGTAAGCACAGCCCTGGGGCCAGCTGTTGTCTATGACTTCCCTCTGCCCGGAACAGCTGTTGTCTATGACAAAGTTTTCATGAGTCTGTGGCAAAATTGTTAAAGATTACATATATTATAATTACATATTATTATATAACATAATTACATATACATATAATCATACATTACATCTATAATTATATAGATGTATATAATTTATCTAAAGCAAATTTTTCATAGAGTGAACCATATTCAATTAAAAGGACTGTCTTTGATTCTGACACTGTGCTATTCCTGTATTTTGATGTTTAAACATCTGGTCATTAATCAAATGATGGTGACAATAAAAAGCTGGGCATTCTGTCAGTGCCTTCAGTTTCCATTTAAACTTTCACAGGCCCAGGGAGTCCAAAATTCTGGGATTCACTGAAATAGGATAACTGATCAGATTTCATTTCCAGAAACTCCCTCAATGGTGGTATGGAGGTCGGGCGGGGATGGGCAGACTGGAGACAGCTGAGGACCATGACACGAATGAATAGGGGCCCAGCTCCCTACGTCCCTTTCTGTTTGTATTTCAGCATAGAAATCATCCTCTTATGCCTGAATTCAGGCAAGCTGAGGCACAGCCAGCCTGGAAACGGCACCTGGGATGCTCTCAAACAGAGAGGAGCCCCCCATGTCCTCTTCCTGTTGATCCATGTTGATTGGCAGGGGATGATGACGTCTTTCCTTTTTCAAGAAATTGTTAATTTTCCTTCCTCCAGTACTTCCGGTCCTGAAAAACAACCACCAAAAGCACCCAACCCTCTCCCACTTGGTTCTTTTAAAGCCAGAACCTTTAATTTTGAATTAGAAAACCTTCATTTTCCCCCGCTCTTATTTCAAATCAGAGAGGTTGCGTGAATGATCCAATGGAGCTTTAAACTCTTCCTGAAAACTGAGACCCCACTGCTTGGTTTGTATTCCCACCTCTGGCTTTTCTGCATGGGCCAGGAGCACTGATAGGCCTAGGTTAAGTCATGGTACAGACCTGAGAGAATCAGATAGAATGATCTTAACAGCAGCTGATATCAGATTCTTTCTTAAGAGGGAGGAGCAAGATGGAATCAGGCTTGGAAATGGGAGAGTTCAGAGACCAGGTGATGCCAGGAATATGCCCTTCCAATCGTCATTCCCCTGCCCACTCCCCAAACACCAAGTAAACACACACACACACACAAACCATGTTGCCAGGAATATGCCCTTCCAATAGCCACCCCCTCCCCACTCCCCAAACACCAAGTAAACACACACACACACACACACACACACAAATCATGCACACCACAAGCACACACCACACATGCACACAGGCACAACACACATACATACACCATTCATATGTACATATACATATTTACCTATCTATACCACACTTGTGCACATCATTCACATACATATACACATATACATGTACATGTACCACTTACACTCACATACACATTCACATACATACGCCCTACACACACATACACCACACACCCAGACACCTCACACATGCACATACACACCACACATATAGACACACCGTATACACATTCATGCAGCACACACATACACCACACACATGCACCCTCCACATGTACATACAGCACACATATGCACACACCAGACACGTGTACACATATGCACCACACACACACTTATGCTCACATGCACACACGTCACATACACACACCACATACATACACACACACACTGACCTCGCCTACTACTCCCCTGTGACTCTGGCTCTAGCCTCCCTGCCCCCAACATACCAGCTTTGCTCCTGCCCCAGGGCCTTTGCACTGACTTCCCTCTGCCTGGAACACTCTTCCCCTGCGTAGCTTCATGGCTCATTCCTTAACTTCCTTTTAGACTTTGCTTAGTTGCCACCTTCTCAGTGAGGTTTTCTCTGATCCCTTTATTTAAAATTTCACATTTCCTGCCTCTCCCCACATTCCCAACCCCCTACAACTCTCTATTTTCCCCAGAGCACTCAGCTTTTCTTATAGATCATAAAATTTACTTACTATATTTATTTTCTGTTAACGCTCAAGCATTGGAAAGGTGGAGAATCAGCATGTGCCCTGCAAGGGAGGCTTGTGCCATCAGCTATGAGAGGTTGATTGTTTTTGGTTTTGTTTTATTATTATTATTATTATTATTATTATTATTATTATTATTATTATTATTAGAGATGGGGTCTTGCTCTGTTGCCCAGGATAGAGTGCAGTGGTGTGATCACAGCTCACTGCAGCCTCAAACTCCTGGGCTTGAGTATCCTCCTGCCTCAGCCTCCTAAGTCACTGGGACTACAGGCACATGCCACTGTCCCTGATAAATAATTGTTCTATTTTTTTTGTAGAGCAGGGTCTGACTTGTTGCCCAGGCTGGAGTGCAGTGCATGATCATGGCTCACTGCAGCCTCGGATGCCTGGGCTCGAGCATCCTCCCACCTCAGCCTCCTGAGACACTGGGGTTACAGGCCCATGCCACCATGCCTGCCTTGCTGATTTTTTTTATTTTTATTTTTTTGTAGAGATGGAGTCTCGCTTTGTTGCCCAGGCTGGCCTTGAACTCCTGGCTTCAAATGATCCTCCCACCTCAGCTTCCCAAAGTGCTGGGATTACAAGCGTGAGCCATGGCACCTGGCCACATTGTTTCCTATACTTGTAGAAGGGACTCCCTTTCTGTGATTTGTCCTGTGAAGGTGTTAAGCTTGGTCCTTTACTATGATCCTTGTCTCAGGGAATAAGAGTCCAGAAGTCAGTAGCTCAGGCGGTGAGGACAGCTCCGTGCTGTCCTTGAGGATCCCTGCAGATCACTGCAGCACCCTCCCCAAGTGTGCCTCATGGTTCAAGTTGGCTGCTGGAGTTCCAGTGACCACATCTGCATCCCAGGCAGCAGATGAAGAAAAGAAGGAGGATTTCCCAGAAGTCCCTCACTAGGTAAATACAGAGGATACTGCCGGTGCATCTTTTAACAAACTGTTCATGTCACAGCATCTGATGGTTTTCAAATTTGTTGGCATGGTTTCTACACCAGATCTTTTCCCACTTGGCCATTCAGCCATTATTAGTAGGACATGCGACAAGGTGCTGTACAAGTTTCTTCCCAGCATTAGAACAAAGAGTGGGTGCAAAGGTCCTTCCTTTATCTGTTTGCATTGTCTGGGTTTACATTTTGTTTATCCTCATACCTTTGTTCCTGCATAAGGAATGGCTAGTTTGTAATCAGAATTAAATGGGCTATATCCAGGAAATCGCATTGTGACGGGAATTGTCCTGCCAGGAACCAGGATAGAAAGCCCGATGCTGACCTCCAGCAGATCTTCAGCTTCGATCAAAGATTCTCTATCTAGGGTGCTTATCAGATTTTCTTTCAAGTTTCAACCTGCCTTTCCCTCCTCACCCCTCCTTAGAGCCTGACACATGCCCAGGCTTATCAGAATTTGCAAAAAGTAATTCTGATTCACCATTCTCCCCTCCCTCCTCCTCCCTGTCTCCTCACGGTTCAGTCTACTCTGCTGAGAATGACTGCTCTGGAAGAAAGCACATCCCTCGCCCTGATAGAGTTTTCTGAAAGCTGAAGAGGCTGCCTGGCCAGGAGGAGACGTCAGCATTATCTCAAATGTAAGTATCTCCAACTCTGGGTGCAGGAACCTCTTCAGACAAAGACAGAAAGTTCACTGTGGATTTGAGTCACTGTTTCACAGCTCTGCAATGGAAAGAACTCTGTATGTGAAGAGCTGGCATTGCCTCTTGCTGACTGAGTGTCCTTGAACAAGGCAATTACTCTGATTCTCAGTGTCCTCATTTGTAAAATGAGAGATAAAGATACTCCTGCAGATTACACGAGATTGTAGAGATACATTGTACAATAAAGAGTTTGCAGACTAGATGAGGCATTGTTACAACCATTGGTATAATAGGGTGAAGGCAAAGGAAGGATTAATTGTACGGGGTGGGGGCGGTGCAGGTTGGGGAAAGATTTTTGCAGGAGGGGGTTTGGAGCTGGACCCGTAGGAAGGTGGAAAGGCATGCCTATTATATCTCTGGTGTTGGTGGTGATTTGCTCATGTCCTACCTCTCTGGACTCCCCTTGCCCACATTCCCAACAATAGCAATACAATCGAAGGCCATCAAAATGTTCACAGCCTTTCACCCAGCAATCCCACTTTGGGAAAGAGGATTTGAGGAAGGAAGTCCTACAGAGAAAGAGCAATACTCACTGCTGATGCTTTTTAAAAATAGCCAAAAAATGTTTGGGTGTGGTGGCTCACACCTATAATCCCAGCACTTTGGGAGGCCACGGCGGGTGGATCACCTGAGGTCAGGAGTTCGAGACCAGCCTGGCCAACATGGTGAAACCTTGTCTTTACTAAAAATACAAAAAAATTAGTTGGGCATGGTGGCGGGTGCCTGTAATCACAGCTACTCAGGAGGCTGAGGCAGGAGAATCGCTTGAACCCGGGAAGTGGAGGTTGCAGTGAGCCAAGATCGCACCACTGCACACCAGCCTGGGCAACAAGAGTGAAACTCTGTCTCAAAAAATAATAACAATAAAATGTAAAATAAATAGAATAAATAAATAAAAATAGCCAAAAAAACTGGAAACAACCTAAATGTTAGCAGTAGAGAAATGGTTAGATTAAGTGTGCTCCAATAAATGGAATGTAAACAAAATATTAAGCGTGAAACTGTGTTGCAACATAGTTTGGAGGTTATTACAGTACCAGGCTAATGGAAAGACCAAGTGAAGAAACAGTGATGTCTATATATTGTAATAGCAACCCTGTCTAGAATATTTGCATATTATAATTGATTAGAATATTAAAAAGAAAAAAAGCGGTATCGGGGTAATAGTCTTATGTTGGTTCAAAAATTTCCAAACAGGGGCCAGTGCGGTGATTCATTCCTGTAATCCCAGCACTTTGGGAGGCTGAGGCAGGCAGATCATCTGAGGTCAGGAGTTTGAGACCAGCCTGGCCAACATGGGGAAACCCTGTCTCTACTAAAAATACAAAAATTAGCTGGGTGTGGTGGCGGGCACCTGTAATCCCAGCTACTTGGGAGACCGAAGCAGGAGAATCGTTTGAACCCAGGAGGTGGAGATTGCGGTGAGCCGAGATCGTGCCATTGCCCTCAAGCCTCGGTGACAGAGCCAGACTCCGTCTCAGAAAAAAAAAAAAAGAAGATTGCATACTAGTCTTAGCTATGCCATGTATTAGCTGTGAGACCTTGGGAGACTATTGAAATACCCCCAGCCTCGGTTTCCTTACTGGTATAGTGGAGTCTGTGGTAGGTAGCCCACAGGGCCACTGTGGTGATCAGATGAGATAGTCTATGCATCACACACTGTAAATGGCATAGATGTAACGGTCCCCCTCGCCTGCAGGGCAGTGAGTCAGCCAGTCCCAAAACCTCTTCCCTGTTCTCAGACCTATGAAGGATAAAGGGGAAGGAGCAGGCCAGGAGGCAGGGAGATCCTTCAGCCTTGGGGAAGGAGAAAAGGGCAGGAAGATTGGTGGGAGGACCCACAGCCTGCAACGTGGATCTAGGAAAGATTGGGCTGGGCCATTGAGGCCTGCTTAGCAGATCACCCAAGAGAGGAGCAGGCATCCTACAGGAATGGGCTTGCCCCAGCACCCTCACCGGGCTCAGGGACGTGGGGCCTCAGCGTGATGCAGCGGTGGCCCCAGAGGCCAGCATCTGGGGCTGTTTGTCAGGCATGCTTTGTGCCTTAGAGCTGAATGGAGTACACTTAGGGCCACCATGTTCTCCTCTTCCTTACGCGTCACCTCCTCAGTTCCCCAACCTTTCTGAGTCTGTCCCTGTCATGTATTGGAGTCTTCAACTTTCTCCTGCATGCTTCCATTTTTCATGTCATTTCTTCTCTAATTTCTCCCAAATCATGCTGACAGAGTATTCATCGCAGAGTACAACTCTCCTTATGCCACCAAACACTCATTGGCTTCTCATTGCCTAAGAATCCAGCCTGTCTCTCCAAGCTAGTGTGACGGGCTGGAGCCAGGCCTGCTCTTCCAGCCTCCTCTATGTCTTAGCCCAGTTGTCCCTGTCTGCGGACCTACATCGTACATTGGGGCTGCTCACGTAATTATTTATTTAATCGTGAAAAACACAGGAAGCTGCTTCTGGTTGTGTGGTGAGAAATTACATTCAGGACCTGAATTTTGTGTCCAGGGGCCATGGATGGCTTTTGCTACCCATAGGAGTTTCAGAAAATGAGATTAGGGTAGAAGCAGCTTGCTAAGACCCCACTCCAGATTTTCTGAGACCTACACACTTCCCTGGACAGGCAGAACACCAACTGTCTTCCCACAAGGCACATGGGAGATTTAGGAAGTCAGGCCCACAGAATATTCCTCAGCCAGCTGCTTCTAGAAAGGTCTCTTTTGTGCTTATTTTGGTCACCTCTAACTTGCATATGATTTCTGTGTCAAAACCCTCACACTGGGCGCAGTGACTCACATCTGTAATCCCAGCACTTTGGGAGGCTGAGGCAGGGGGATGGTTTGAGGCCAGGAGTTTGAGACCAGCCTGGGCAATGTAGCAAGACTCCATCCCCACCTTAAACTCCTCTGGATGTTCAGTGCTCTGTTGAATCTGCCCCAAATGAACCTGCACAACCTGACTTCCTCGTTTCCACGTGTGGCCTTCCAGTTACCCTGCTTTCTAGGGCATCCCCTGGCTCAGCATTTGCTGTCAGAAGGTAACTTTTGCCGCCTAAATGGATGACGGTGTGTGGTTTTTAGTGTGCAAGAAGCCAAGGGCTCCTGAGAGCAAGTGGCGGCTCAGGAGATGTGCAGCAAGTGATGCTTTGAGAAGGGCCTGGCGGGGGCATCCCTGGCTTTCTGCAGGGAGGCAAAGCTAGTCCCACCATGAAGTGGCCAGCAGCCCTCAGTCCCTGTGGCCTAGATGCCAGTCTTCTCAAGGATGGCACTGGAAGACCTCTTTCCTTCTTATTTATTTATTTTTGAGACAGGGTCTCACTCTGTCACCCAGGCTGGAGTGCAGTGGCATGATGTCGGCTCGCAGCCTCAACTTCCAGGTCACAATTGATCCTCTCACTCCAGCCTCCTGAGTAGCTGGGACCACAGGAGTGCGCCACCATGCCCAGCTAATTTTTGTATTTTTGGTAGAGACGGGGTTTCGCTATATTGCCCAGGCTGGTCTTGAACTCCTGAGCTCAAGCGATCTGCCTGCTTCAGCCTCACCAAAGTGCTGGGATTACAGGCGTGAGCAACCACACCTGGCCAGTACTGGCAGATCACTTTCTTCCTAACTTAAATGATGCCAGGGAGAAACAGGTGGGCCTAATGAAAACTGATGATTACTGTGGCTGTGCTGATATCTATTACTGAAATGTGATAGGTTCTGGGGATTGCAACAGGCGTTCCTAAAAATCACTGCAGCAATAAAACCACAGGGCTTACCAGGAAAACCAGGTTAGGAGTAGAATACTCGAAAACTTCATTAGTGACGTTAACAACCTTGGAACCTAATAAAAATGGCAGCACAGTTTCATACATGTTCCATGGTTAAGAAATGCATATAAAATACAACAATGACAGCACATCAGCTCGCAAAAGACCTGAAGTTCCCATGCAGGGTGTTCACCTACACTCTTGCCCACTCACCGGCTGGCTCCCAGGCCCACCACCTGTGTAAAAGAGGAAGAGAGCAAAAGATAGAGAGAAAAAAGGGGAGGAAAAGAAAGAGAACAGAGAGGAAATACGTAAAGTAGGCTGAGAAGGAAGAAGGGAAAATTAAAGAGAAGGCGAGTTTAGGACCACACAGCCCAGCGGCCTTTGGAAAGGTGGCTACTTGTGAGTTACTGTGAAGGGGTGGAAGGAGCAGCACCTGAAATTCGGTGTGGAAAGTTGGGACCCCAGGTGGGGGTGGGGGTGGCTCATTGTCCTGGCCAGGGTGGCCCATGTGTCGCTTTGTGCACCCCAATGCAGCTCAGTTCACCCGGGTGCAGTATTCTGTGTTTGTTCATCCAGTGTTTTTCAAAGACAAAATCTCACATGAGAAAGTGCGACATTCACATTATGCAATTTATTCCCTGATAAAGGCACATCTTGTTTTTTTAAGATTCACTTTATAGCACTGCACAGATACAGTGTATTTTACAAACTGAAGGCTTATGATGTCCCTGCATTGAGCAAGTCTATTGTTGCCATTTTTCCAACAGTGTGCGCACACTTCATGTTTCTGTGTCAGCATTTTTTGACAATGAAGTATTTTTGGTATGTACATAGTTATTTCAGACATAATGCTATTGCACTTAATAGACTACAGTATAGTATAAACATGACTCTTTTTTTCTTTTGTAAAGATAGGGTCCTACTTTGTTGCCCAGGCTGGTCTCAAACTCCTGGCCTCAAGCTAGCCTCTCACCTTGATCCCCACAAAGTGCTGGGATTACGGGTGTGACCCACCAGGCCCAGCTAAATATAACTTTTTTTTTCTTTTCTTTTTTTTTTTTTTTGAGACAGGGTCTTGCTCTATCACCCAGGCTGGAGTGCAGTGGCTCAATCTCACTACAACCTCCTCCTCTCAGGTTCAAGTGATTCTCCTGCCTCAGCTTCCCAAGTAGCTGGGACTACAGGCGTGCGCCACCACACCAGGCTAATTTTTGTATTTTTAGTAGAGACCGGGTTTGGCCTGTTGGCCAGGCTGGTTTTGAACTTCTGACCTCAGGTGATCCACCCGCCTTGGCCTCCCAAAGTGTTGGGATTACAAGCTTGAGCCACCACGCCCAGCCTAAACATAACTTTAAAAAAAAATGTTTATTTTAGGTTCAGGAGTACATGTGCAGGTTTGTTATATAGGTAAACTCGTGTCATGGGGGGTTGTTGTACAGATTATTTCATCACTTATGTACTTAGCCCAGTATCCAATAGTTATTTTTTCTGCTCCTCTCCCTCCTCCCACCCTCCACCCTCAGGTAGGCCCCTGTGTCTGTTATTCCCCTCTTTGTGTCCATGAGTTCTCATCATTTAGCTCCTACTTATAAATGAGAACATGCAGTATTTGGTTTTCTGTTCCTGTGTTAGTTTGCTAAGGATAATAGTCTCCAGCTCCATCTATGTTCCTGCAAAAGACATGATCTTGTTCTTTTTTATGGCTGTATAGTATTCCTTGGTGTATATGTACCATATTTTCTTTATCCTATCTGTCATTGATGGGCATTTAGGTTGATTCCATGACTTTGCTATTGCGAATCATGCTGCTATGAACGTTCACGTGCATGTGTCTTTATGGTAGGATGGTTTATATTCCCCTGGGTATATACCCAGTAATGGGATTGCTGGGTTGAACGGTAGTTCTGCTTTTAGCTCTTTGAGGAATCGCCATACTGCTTTCCACAATGGTTGAACTAATTTAGATTCCCACCAACGGAGTATAAATGTTCCCTTTTCTCTTCAACCTTGCCAGCATCTGTTATTTTTTGACTTTAATGATGGCCATTCTGACGGGTGTGAGATGGTATCTCATTGTGGCTTTGATTTCCATTTCTGTAATGATCAGTGATGTTGAGATTTTTTCTTTATGATCGTTGGCCACATGTATGTCTTTTTTTTTTTTTTTTTTTTTTTTGAGATGGAGTCTCACTTTGTCACCCAGGCTAGAGTGCAGTGGTGGGATCTCGGCTCACTGCAAGCTCTGCCTCCCGGGTTCATGCCATTCTCCTGCCTCAGCCTCCAGAGTAGCTGGGACTACAGGCACCCGCCACCACGCCCGGCTAATTTTTTTGTATTTTTAGTAGAGACGGGGTTTCACTGTGTTAGCCAGGATAGTCTCGATCTCCTGACCTCGTGATCCACCCGCCTTGGCCTCCCAAAGTGCTGGGATTACAGGCATGAGCCACCGCGCCTGGCCTTCTTTTTTTTTTTTTTTTTTTTTTTGAGACAGAGTTTCACACTTGTTGCCCAGACTGGAGAGCAATGACACGATCTTGGTTCACTGCAATCTCCGCCTCCTGGGTTCAGGCAATTCTCCTGCCTCAGCCTCCCAAATAGCTGGGATTACAGGCATGCACCACCATGCCTGGCTAATTTTTGTATTTTTAATAGAGACGGGTTTCTCCATGTTGGTCAGGCTGATCTTGAACTCCCGACCTCAGGTGATCCACCCACCTTGGCCTCTCAAAGTGCTGGGATTACAGGCATGAGCCACCGCGCCCGGCCCATATGTCTTCTTTTGAAAAGTGTCTTTTCATGTTCTTTGCCCACTTTTTAATGGGGTAGTTTGTTTTTGTCTTATAAATGTGTGTGTGTGTGTGTGTGTGTGTGTTTTGAAATGGGCTCTCACTCTGTCCCCCAGGCTTGAATGTAGTGGCACAATCATGGCTCACTGCAACCTCTGCCTCTCAGGTTCAAGCGATTCTCTTGCCTCAGCCTCCTGAGTAGCTGGGATTACAGGTGCATGCCATTGCACCTGGCTAATTTTCGTATTTTTAGTAGAGACAGGGTTTCTCCATGTTACCCAGGCTGGTCTTGAACTCCTCACCTCAGGTGATCTGCCCACCTCAGCTTCCCAAAGTGCTGAAATTACAGGCATGAGCCACCGTGCCCAGCCTGTCTTGTAAATTTGTTTAAGTTCCTTATAGATGCTGGATATTAGACTTTTGTCAGATGTGTAGTTTGCCAATATTTTCTCCCATTCTGTAGGTTGTCTGTTTAGTCTGTTGATAGTTTCTTTTGCTGTGCAGAAGCTCTTAAGTTTAATTAGATCCCATTTGTCAATTTTTGCTTTTGTTGTGATTGCTTTTGCTATCTTTGTCATTAAATCTTTGCTTGCTCCTATGTCCAGGATGGTATTACTTAGGTTTTCTTCCAGAGATTTTACAGCTAAACATAACTTTGATATGCACTGGGAAACCAAAACATTTGTGTAATTTCACTTGATTGCTATATTTGCTTTATTGCACTGGTCTGGAACTGAGTCTGCAATATCTCTGAGGTATGCCTGTATGTCATCCAGGTGGAACAAATCTGCATTTTTAGAACAAGCAGTAGATTATAGGTTACTGTACTTAAGTTCAATGAGAAGACAATAGCATTTTGCGATTTTTCTTTCTACCTTTCCAATGATAATATCTCATTTAGTCTTGCACTGGAATTCTTTCTTGGCTGTCTTTTGCTAGGTTTGTACTATCTTCAATGTTTTCCATAACCAAAGGCAGCAATTTAACTAACTCATGAAAATACGTATTCTGTAAATTTGGCTGATTCTTTCTGCTTTTGCTATTGCCCATTGAACTATTTTCAGATGCTGTCCAAAGTCCTTACTATGGCCTGTGGGGCCAAGGGGTCTATCTCTCACTTACCCTGCTCCACCCACCTGGCTCTCTTGCCAACCTTTGGCAGCTCACTCGTGCTCAAGAACTTTGCACCTGTGGTCCCCAGGACCAAATGCGGCCTCAGCTGTTCCCTTAACCTACCCAGTCGGTTCACTCCCTCACTTCTTAGGACTCTGCCCCAAAGGTATTGAAGAGATTATAGAGAACTTTCCTGATATACCAAAATAAAATTGCACCTCTCACACCCAACCACATCACTCTATAATGTAAGCTTTTTTTATTTTTTTTTTTTTTGAGACAGAGTCTTACTATGTCAGCCAGGCTGGAGTGCGATAGTGTGATCTCGGCTTACTGCAACCTCCGCCTCCCGGGTTCAAGCGATTCTACTGTCTCAGCCTTCAAGTAGCTGGGATTACAGGTGCCCACCACCACGCCTGGCTAATTTTTGCATTTTTTAGTAGAGACTGGGTTTCGCCATGTTGGCCAGGCTGATCTCGAACTCCTGACCTCAGGTGATCTGCCCGCCTTGGCCTCCCAAAGTGCTGGGATTACAGGCGTGAGCCACCGTGCCCAGCCTCCACTCTGTAAGTTCTTACGTGAATTAATTTTTTTCTATGGCACTTTTCTTTATCTCCATCTGACACATTATATAATTGCTTATTCATTCCTTTAGTGTCTGTCTTTCCCCATAAGAATGTAATCTTCAAGAGAACAGTGACCATATTTTGTTCTTAGGTGTGCCTTTAATGTCTAGCACTGTGCCAGGTACATAGTGAGGTCTCAATAAATATTAATTGATGAATAAATGGTCAGTATGGGTTATTAAGACTGATCCAATTAACCTATGGGAGTGCATTGTTAGAATAAGACAATTAACAACAGGTACTGAGAAGCCATAAATATATGCTTTTAAGATTAACCTCCTGGCTGGGCAAGGTGGCTCACACCTGTAACCCCAGCACTTTGGGAGGCCGAGGTGGGAGGATCACCCTGAGGTGAGGAGTTCAAGACCAGCCTGACCAATATGGAGAAACCTGTCTCTACTAAAAATACAAAATTAGCTGAGGGTGGTGGCGCATGTCTGTAATCCCCGCTATTTGGGAGGCTGAGGCAGGAGAATCGCTTGAACCTGGGAGTTCAACCGCGGAACTTGAACCGTGGAGGTTGTGGTGAGCTGAGATTGCGCCATTGCACTTCAGCCTGGCAGCAAGAGCGAAATTCCATCTCAAAACAAACAAACAAAAAGATTAACCTCCTAATACCTTCTTGTAATATTGTCCTGGGATATAGCATAGTTATAAAAATGCTGTTTCAAAAATGATTTTGGAGAGAAAATATTTAGGAGAAAATGGATATCAACTTAAAATTTGATATCAACAGAATTAAAAATTCCATTATTCCAAAATGGAATTAAATAATATGTAGATGCTTTAAAACTCTAAGAATATGAAAGATAATGCCTTTGTTGGTAATAATAGTAATAATTTTGGAATTTAAGGAAATATTACTAAGTAAATTTACTTTTTAAAAGAGTCACGTAAAGAAACCTGGCAGATATCACTCGAATCAATCAATCAACATTAACTGCAGCAGTAACGGGACACAGTGGCATCATGGATCTCCTGATGAGATGCGCTGAGAAGGACACCCCGTGAGTTTTGTAGCATTCCTGCCAGATTGCATAACCCTGATCTAATTATAAGAGAACAATTAGACACACCTGAATTGAGAAATCCACAGAACAACTGGCCTGTTTTAACAAATGTCAATAACATGAACAAGAAAGAAAGGCCAAGAAACTATTCCAATTTAACCAAGAATAAAGAGACAGGACAGGCCAGGTGCAGCGGCTCACGCCTGTAATCCCAGCACTTTGGGAGGCTGAGGCGGGCAGATCACATGGTCAGGAGTTCGAGACCATCCTGGCCAACATGGCGAAACCCCATTTCTACTAAAAATACAAAAATTAGCCAGGCATGGTGGTGCACACCTGTAATCCCAGCTACTTGGGAGGCTGAGGCAGGAGAATCCCTTGAACCTGGGAGGTGGACATGGCAGTGAGCTAAGATCACACCATTGCACTCCAGCCTGGGAGACAGAGCAAGATTCCGTCTCAAAAAAGGAAAAAAGAAAGGAAGGAAGGAAAAAGAAAGAAAGAAAGAAAGAAAAAAAGAAAGAAAGAAAGAAAGAAAGAAAATCACAAAATGCAATGCATGATCTTGGGTTAGAGGATCATTTTTTAAAAATATAACTAAAAAGGTTATTGGAACAACTGGTAAAATTTGAATACAGATTGTATATTTAGACAATAGAATTGTGTTTGCTACGTACGATTAGTACACTGTGGTTATAAAGAGAGTCTTTGTTCTTAGGAGGCCTATGTACAAGTATTTAGGCATGAAGGGTCATGATATCTGCAACTGACTCAAATGATTATGCAAATAACAATAAGAACATACAGAGAGGTTCAAAGAGGTAAAGCAAATATGGCAAAATGTTAACAATTGGTGCATTTGGTTTTCATTTGATTTTTGAGACAGAGTCTCACTCTCATGCCCAGGCTAAAGTGCAGTAGCACAGTCAGAGCTCACTGCAGCCTCAAACTCCTGAGCCCAAGTGATCTCCTGCCTCAGCCTCCCAAGTAGCTGGGACTCAAGGCACATGCCACCACCCGTGGCTAATTAAAGCAAATTTTTTTTTGTTTTTTTTGTAGAGACGGGTACCACTATGTTATTCAAGCTGGCCTTGAACTCCTGACCTCAAGTGATCCTCCTGTCTCTGCCTCCCAAAATGCTGGGAGTATAGGCCTGAACCTCTATGTCCAGTAATTGGTGCATTTGGATGTATTTTTTTTTTTCACCAAATTTTCTGAGGGTTTGAAATCAATTCTTTCTTTTCTTTCTTTCTTTCTTTCTTTTCTTTCTTTCTTTTTCTTTCCTTTCTTTTTTTTTTCTTTCTTTCTTTCTTTTTTTTTTTTTTGACAGAGTCTTGCTGTGTCACCTAGGCTGGAGTGCAGTGGCGCAATCTTGGCTCACTGCAACCTCCGCCTCCCGGGTTCAAGCGATTCTCCTGCCTCAGCCTCCCAAGTAGCTGGGACTACAGGTGCCTGCCAACATGCCTGGCTAATTTTTTTTGTATTTTTTGTAGGGGCGGGATTTCACTACATTGGCCAGGCTGGTCTTGAACTCCTGACCTTGTGATCCGCCCACCTCGGCCTCCCAAAATGCAGGGATTACAGGTGTGAGCCACCGTGCACCACACCTTTTTTTTTTTTTTTTTTTTTTGAGATGGAGTCTTACTCTGTTGCCCAGGCTGTGGTGCAGTGGCACGATCTCGGTTCACTGCAACCTCCGCCTCCTGGGTTCAAGTGATCCTCCTGCCTCAGTCTCCCAAGTAGCTGGGATTACAGATGCATGCCACCACGCCTGACTAATGTTCGTATTTAAGTAAAGACGGGGTTTTGCCATGTTGGCCAGCCTGGTCTCGAACTCCTGACCTCAGGTGATCCGTCCTCCTCGGCCTCCCAAAGTGCTGGGATTACAGGCATCAGCCACCGTGCCAGCCTGAAATTTTTCAAATTGAAAACTTTAAAAATGACCACCACTGCCAAAAACACCAAACAACCTGATTGAAAATGAACAAAGACGTGAATAGACATATCTCCAAACAAGATGTATGAATGGCCAATAAGCCCTTGAAAAGATGCTCAATATCCCCAATCATTAGAGAGATGCAAATCAAAACCACAATAAGATATCACCTCATACCCATTAGATGGCTACTATTAAAAAATATAAAATAGTAAGTGTTGTCAAAGTACGTAGAGAAACTAGAATGCTTGTACACTGGTGGTGGGAATGTAAAATGGTACAGCTGCCACGGAAAACAGTATGGCAGTTCCTCAAAAAATTAAAAATAGAATTACCGCATGATCTAGCAATTTCCCTTCTGGGTATACACCCAAAAGAATTGTGAACAGGGTCTTGAAGAAATATTTGTCCATACATGTTTAAAGCGGCATTATTCACAATAGCCAAACATGAAAGCAACACATATGTCCACACACAGATTAACGGATAAGCAAAATGAGGCACTACATACATACAATTATTTATTTATTTTTTCTTTTTTGAGACAGGATCTCACTCTGTTACCCAGGCTGGAGTGCAGTGGCATGATCACAGCTCACTGCAGCCTTGACCTTCCAGGCTCAAGCGATCCTCCCACCTCATCCTCCCCAGTAGCTGAGACTACAGGTGCACACCACCATGCCTGGCTAATTTTTGTATTTTGTAAATTTTGTATTTTTGTATTTTTTGTAGAGATGGGGTTTCACCATGTTGCCCAGGCTGGTCTCAAACTCCTAGGCTCCACCTGCCTTGGCCTGCCAAAATGCTGAGATTACAGATGTGAGCCACAACACCCAGCCTATGCAATGAAATATTATTCAACCTAAAAAAGGGAGGAAATTCTGACACATGCTACAATATGGATGAACCTTGAGGACATTATGCAAAGTGAAATAAGCCAGTCACAAAAAGACAAATAGTGTCTTATTCCATTAATATAACATCTAGAGTAGTTAAATTCTTAGAGATGGAAAGTGGAATGGTGGTCGCCAGAGGCTGAGGGAGGGAGGGATGGGAAGTATTGTTTAATGGGTACAGAGTTTCAGTTTTGTGAGATGAAAAGAGTTCTAGAGATGGATGATGGTGATGGTTGCAAAACAGTATGAATGTACTACCATTTGATACATTGAATGTAATACGATTGAACTCTACACTTAAAAATGGTTAAGATGGGAGATATTATGTATGTGTAGTTTACCAAATAAAATTCTTTTTCAGTAACTGAAGAGAGAAAAATATTTGCAACCATTACAATAACAATTGATTCTAGTAAGAGTCATTAATGGGGTTAAAATTAGAGGGTAAAAGTTTAATGAAAGAGAATATTTATGTAGTTTCCAATTATCTGTTTCCAATATATTTATTAATTAGAAAAGAAAACCTAGTAATTTTACAGTGGAGAAATTAGGAGGTATAAATGTACCAGGTGATCAAAGTAAACACTATCAGCATTAGGACAAATGGACATGTTCCTCCTGATATGTTGCACTAGGAAGGACACAATATCACTTCTCTGTTACTGCTGCCAAAATTTATGCAAAATCTGATCTAATTATGAAGGAAACACCAGACAAACCCAAACTGAGGGACAGCCTACAAAATAACTGGTCTGTCCTCTTAAAAAATGTCAAGGGCCAGGCTCAATGGCTTGTCCCTGTAGTCCAGCTACTAGAGAGGCTATGGTGAGAGGATCATTTGAGTCCAGGAGTTTGAGGCTATAGCATGCTGTGATCACATCTGTGAATAGCCACTGCACTCCAGCCTCGGCATAGCTAGATCTCATCTCTAAAAAAAAAGTTAAGGTCATGAAAGATCAGGAATGACTGAGGAACTCTTTCAAGTTGAAGAAGACTGAAAGTGCATGACAACTGAATGCAGTTTGTAATCTGGTATTTTCTTTTGCTATTAAAAGACATTATATTGACATCTGGTGAACTCTGAATAAGAGCTGTCAATTAGATTATAGTATGATATCAATGTTAATTTCCTTATTTTGGCAATTGTGTTATGGCTAGGTGAGAGAATGTTCTAGTTTTAAAGAAGCATATACTTAAGCATTCAGAGGTAAAGAGGTATCATGTTTGCAACTTACCCTCAATGGTCCAGATAAAAATTTATGTATATATATATGTATCGATGTGTCTGTGTGTGTGTGCATGCATGTGTGAGTGTGTGGAGAGAGAGACAGACAGAGAGAGAGAAAGACAGAGAGAAAGCAAACATGGCAAAATGTTAATATTAAGGAAAATCTGAGTATATGGGATATGGGAATATAAGGGTATATGGAATCGTTTTGTATTATTTTTGCAATTTTTATGTAAGGTTGAAAATTACATAAATCAAGATTAAAAATTAAAATAACAACAAAAGGCAAGTGGAACCCCAGCAGTGAATGCTGGAGGTCTGATGATAATGAACCAGGAAAACGTTCATGGGAAAACAGGATGTAGAACTATAGGAATTAAACTTTACCCTGAAAAGCTTGGCATCTTCCCAAACATAGGTGGACATAATTGTGTTTTCCCAAGGTACTTTTTATCCTAATCGCCTTTGAAAACAGAATAAAGTGAACACCAAATCCTGCTTCACTCTCATCCTTTGTCAGAGTGTTTTTTTGTTTTGTTTTGTTTTGTTTTGTTTTTTGAGACAGAGTCTCGCTCTGTCGCCCAGGTTGGAGTTCAGTGGCGCGATCTAGGCTCACTGCAAGCTCCGCCTCCCGGGTTCATGCCATTCTCCTGCCTCAGCCTCCCGAGTAGCTGGGACTACAGGCGCCCGCCACCACGCCTGGCTAATTTTTTGTATTTTTTTAGTAGAGGCGGGGTTTCACCGTGTTAGCCAGGATGATCTCGATCACATGACCTCGTGATCCGCCCGCCTCGGCCTCCCAAAGTGCTGGGATTACAGGCTTGAGCCACCGCCCCCGGCCAAGGGTGTCATTTTTATCTGAGATCACAATTGAGTGTGGGTTGTTTAAAATACTCATGAATTGGCCGGGCTCGGTGGCTCACGACTGTAATTGCAGCACTTTGGGAGGCCGAGGTGGGCGGATCACGAGGTCAGGATATCAAGACCATCCTGGCTAACATGGTGAAACCCCGTCTCTACTAAAAATACAAAAAAAAAAAAAAAAAAAAAAAAAAAAAATTGGCCGGGCGTGGTGGCGGGCGCCTGTAGTCCCAGCTACTCGGTAGGCTGAGGCAGGAGAATGGCGTGAACCCAGGAGGCGGAGTTTGCAGTGAGCCGAGATCGCGCCAGTGCACTCCACGCTGGGCAACAGAGCGAGACTCCGTCTCAAATAAAATTAAAAAAAAAATTCATGAATTAGGCGAATTCCCTGGAATTGGAACACTAATACATTCACATCTATATGACATCTGGAAAATAAAAGAAAGCTCCATGGCCATACATGGTCAGTTACCAATCCTCACAGGAGAGTGAGATTAGAACAAATGCCTCCTTCAGAGCAATAGCCAATTGAGCTATTTTCCCACTCAGCTGCCTGGACTTTTGTCTGAATCGTCAGAGAGAAGAGTTACCTTGGGGCCGGGTGTGGTGGCTCACAACTGTAATCCCAGCACTTTGGGAGGCTGAGGCAGGAGGATCACCTGAGGTCAGGACTTCGAGACCAGCCTGGCCAACATGATGAAATCCCATCTCTACTAGAAATACAAAAATTAGTCGGGCGTGGTGGCATGCCTGTAATCCCAGCTACTCAGGAGACTGAGGCAGGAGAATCACCTGAAACTGGGAGGTGGAGGTGGCAGTGAGCCGAGATCACGCCACCGCACTCCAGCCTGGGTGACTGAGGGAGACTCCATCTCAAAAATCAAACACACAAAAAAAGAAAAGTTACCGTGGCTTCTTATAGACACACAGCCTGAGACCTGCTTCTTAAATTTTGTGTTTCTGCCTCATCAGGATGACAGCCATCAAGAAAAGAGTATAAATCTCAAAAGAGCAAGGTTTCATTTTTTTTTAAAGCTGGTATATTACAGAATTATGGGTACCATTGGTACTGCAGATATCAGATGATTCTTAAACATATCAGTGAGTTCTTAAATGGTTAAGAACTGTGCACATTATTAATGTGTATGCAGCATTGGGCTAGGCTCTGCGAAGTCAGGAAAACAAATAAAGCACATGGGCCTTGCCCCCAATGAGCTCTTATCCCCGAAAAACATACGAAATGACTAGAGAAAAAGACCGAATTATTATATACACTTAGAAAATGTCCAGAGCACAATATAAAAGTAAGTATTCGATGATGAATGTGTTTGGAACTACTAATTCTAAAGGAGTGACAGGGACACACTGTCCTAGTAGGAGACACAGCATCAATATTACGTCCTACAAGGACTGGGCAATGTGAGGCGAGTGCAGGGCTATAAATAGTAAATGACAGAGAATTTACCGTATATACTGGACTTACTCAGGCCAAGAGATACTGATGAAATAAAGGAGCACAAGCATGCACAGATAGATCGTGAGCATTATGTATAAACAATGGAGCAAATAGATCTTGTGGGTGGAAATAAAGGGAGAAACCTTTCCTTCCATAGATGGGCAGGATGGCGCGGCAGAAAGAATAATAGCTTTGGTGTCGGACAAACTGGATTCAAATCCTAGCTCTTTCACTACCTGTGTAAAACTGGGCAAGTTATCTAATCATTGCAAACCTTGTTTTCACTACATAGGGCTACTAGCTTGTGCAGTTATTAGTATTAAATTGAATGCTACATTAAGCATCTAGCAGAAGCAGCATTCAACAAGCGATATCTCTTGTTGGTTTGTGTATTTCTTAAAGCATCGCACTGTTATTGTTGTGTTTGTCTCCCTGATAGATTGTGAGCTTCTCAAAGAAAGGACTGTGCCTTAACGGTCTTGGCATTTTGAATTTCTAGTATAGAATCTGGCTCATGGTAGATTCTCAGTAAATATTGACATAATAAGAATCACGAAAACTGTACATTTAGGTAACAACGATGGTTTGATATTAACGGAATACTTACTTTGTGCCCAGCTAGGAGCATTTAATGAATCACCTTATCTAATCCTCACGACAATCCTTCGATTTTAACTATGAACATCCCATACAAGTGACAAGGATATTGAAGCTTAGAAACCTGCCCGTGCTTATACAGCCAGTAAATGGAGAGCCTTGACCTCAGCCAGGTTGGATTCAGGCTGTGCTGAACCAGCAAAGTAGAGAACTGCTCTCCTCCTGTAGTTGCTGAGGAAAGTCCCATGGATGGACCAATAGGAGTTTCAGAAGCTGCCTGAGTACCAAAAAGGGAGAGAATTCGTGAGAAGGGTAAGAGCATTCCAGGCACAGACTACAGCTTCAGAGACAGCTCTGATGTGTGACAGAGGCTGGGGTGGGGTTTTTTGAAGGAGGAGTGTTGAAGGCACAGGCCAAAAAAGGCCTACTGAGCTTGGGGTTTCCCTCAACCACAGGGCATGGGGAAGTCGTGGGGCCCGTGTCACGTGCGGGTGAAGATAGAGAAGAATCTCCATACAGAGATCCTGTAGCAGCTGAAACAGGCAGTGCTGGGGCCCAGAAGCCCAGAAATAGTCAGAAACACAGATGGCATAGAGTAGAGTCAGAAGTGCTTCTGGGGAGCAGGCTGGGGGCTCACAGTGCTGTATTGTTGGGAGGGAACTGAAGGAAAAGCACCATATTTGACAACAGACTGCAGGCTGCAGTAAAAGGTAGTAAACAGAGGGCACTTAATGCAGTGGTTATAAGTGGGGTCCTTGCAGCTGGAACACCTAGGGTCACTTACCGGCTCCCAGCTGCATGACCTTAGCAACATGACTTAACCTCTCTGGGCCTCTATGCCCCTTCTCTGTAAAACAGGGAAGGTCTGTTTCCTAGGGTTACTGTGAGTGCAAAATGAATGAATACTTGTAGAACACATGCTGTCTCTGATGGGTAATAAATGTTATTTCTGATGGCGAATGAATTCAAAAGAAAAAGACAAGTTCTCATGAGTAAATCAAAAGTGTTTTGCTTAGAAGGCATGTTTCCTTTGCTTTTTCTTCCTGTCTTTGCTGGTTCAGAACTCATGCCCCCTAAATTTTATACAGAATTTGCTGTTTTCTGAAAAATTATTATAAACTAGGTTCAAGGTCGTTACTTTTAGCTGCTGACAGGAAACGGGGACGTCCTGTTGACCGCTGATAGGTCTGACATCAAACATATCCAACTCCAGCTGTCCCAGATCCTCTTCCCTGACGTCAAAAGGCAGTACTGGTTTTCCAGTCCTCCAAGTGCAAACCCTTGAACTCAATTTTAACTTCGTTTCTTCTCCTCTTCAATGCCAATCTTATAATCAGGATTTGCTCCTTCTTTCATTTCAATGTTTTAGACTTGGTCCTCTAATAACTTACCTGTCTCTACTTTCACCCTAGTGCCAAAGTAACGATCAACCGATTATTCAGGATACCACTTAAATCGCTTATCTCCCTTTGTCAAGAACTTTCAATAGTTTCTTCTCCGAGTGACAGAGCGAATTCAAATTCCTAAATTTGTGATTCAAGGCTGTACTTCAACCGGTCCCTCCCCACATCCTCTGCTGGGGGATGGTGCCCTGAATAAACCCAGCTCGGTCCTCCACCTCCCTTCTCTGCCGCCTGATGACATCCCATTCCTTCCAGAGCACCCGGGTTGATTCCCGCCGTCCCACCTGCAGCTTTCCCCGCCAGTTTTTCCAGCCCTAATGTCTTTGATGACTTGGGGCCCCCATCTGACACTGGCTTGTGTTGTACACTGGTGACTTTGCCTCGGAGGGTGAGACCCCGTTTCCTGGCGAACCTCCACAATAGGGAGCACAGGATCAGGCACTCAAAAAACGCGCAATGAATGGGTGGATGAGCCCATGAACGTGTTGGTGGCTCTGTCCCTTGGCTGATTCCCAGCTCCCACCCCGTCTTCCTACCAGGGTCAAGCGAATTGGACCCCGGACGCGGCCGAGCGGCAATGGGGTGGGCGCCGTTCCTGAATCCGGAGCGTTTCCACGTCGCCGGCTCTCCACGACCCAACCCTAATCAGAGGACCACGGTGCGGGTCCCGCGCTCTGCTCCCCCTCCCGGAGGCGCCGTTCGCTGGGAGTCGGGCTGGTTTCGAGAATCGCAGGCACCGGCGCCCAAGGCGGGAGGTTCGGCTTCGCCCCTCGCCCTCCCCCTCGCGGCCATTGGGCTGCCCCGCGGCGCGCCCGCTGGACGGGGCGGGGCCCTCCGCTCTCCCCTCCGCTCCCCTCCCCTATTTCCCGGGGTGGGAACGCCGGGAGGCGGGAGGAGAGGGGGCTGCCAGGGGCGTCCGGTTACATCCCCGCCTTCCTCTGTCCTGGCCGCGGGACCGGGTTTGCGGGACCGCAGTTCGGGAACATGTTGGCCTCGAGCAGCCGGATCCGGGCTGCGTGGACGCGGGCGCTGCTGCTGCCGCTGCTGCTGGCGGGGCCTGTGGGCTGCCTGAGCCGCCAGGAGCTCTTTCCCTTCGGCCCCGGACAGGGGGACCTGGAGCTGGAGGACGGGGATGACTTCGTCTCTCCTGCCCTGGAGCTGAGTGGGGCGCTCCGCTTCTACGACAGATCCGACATCGACGCAGTCTACGTGAGTGAGCCCCGGGAGGGCGGGCGAGGGGCTGCAGGGCGCGGCGGGCCGGGGGCGCCCGTGGAGCCGGACGGACTTGGGCGTAGCAGGCGGGGACCCGGACCCGCTGGCCGCCGGGGCACCGGGCACGGCGCAGGGTCTCCCGCCTCTGCAGGGTCCGCGAAGGTCTTCCCGACCCGGTCCCTGCTATCCGAAGAGCGGGTCGCGGGGTCTGGGTGGCTCCGCGCGCCCCGGGCCGTGACCCCGGCACCCATGGACCCCGCGGAGCTTCCTCCCCGGCGGCTGTGGGCTGCATCGCCGCAGGGAGGTCAGTCCGCGTCCCTCGGCTGTCCAGTCCCTTCGGGGCTAGGACCTGGCCGGTCCCGGGTGGAGCCAGGTTCTCGCGCGGAGCCTCCGCAGGGCAAGAGCCGGAGCTGGATCGCAGTCTGCGCGCGGGCCCCGGGACTCTTGTGGCTGCGGGAGAGTTTCGCCGGCAGCCTCCTGTATTTGTGTGTGGACTCCGGATGTGTCTTGGCAGTGATGCTGCTTTCCAGTTGGGCTCGTTTCAGAGTCCAGAGTCCAGAGCGGGAAACACAGGGCTCCCAGTGATCCCATTTCCTGTGGCCAGGCATTGTCACCACGGAGGCCCCAAACGAGGAGCGGGACCAGATGACCTACAGCTCCCTGGATCCTCCCCGTGACTGGCCGGGCCTGGGGTCGCTGTCAACTTGTTGAAGTCCTTTCGTGCCGCTGCCTTCCTCGGCCGCCCACCATGTGGATTTCATATAAGGCTTGTGTGCATTCCAGAAGTGTGGGGGGTTGGCCGGGGGAAGGGGGTTGGAACTGCAAACGCAGCGGCTGCAGCCTGTCCTGCCCGTGAAATGGCTGTGCTCCCGGTCTGGCCTGGGAACACTGCGCCTTAGACAACACTCACGTGGAACTTGTAGGCTTTGCCTAAAACGAATGAGCCCTTCAAGTCTGGATCCACAAAGAGCCCTCCCCCATGTTGGTTGACTGCCCTGGCCCCTTTGCACACTGGTGAAGCCTGTGGATCCCTTTTCAGTATAACGCTTTTATTTTAGTTTTTAGAGAGACGAGGTCTTGCTCTGTTGCCCAGGCTGGGTGCAGCGGTGCGATCTTGGGTCACTGCAGCCTCCAACTCCTTGGCTCAAGCTGTCCTCTGGCCTCAGCCTCCTGAGTAGCTGGGACCACAGGCGAGTGTCACCATGCTGGGCAGTATAAAGTTTTAAATGCATAAAATAAAATCCACAAGATGACCAAGGAAGGCAATTATGTTGAAATACAGATCAAAATATTAAAAAAACACACATCTTATGCTCTTATGTACTATATATGCTTATATGCTTACTTTATTTATTTATTTATTTATTTATTTTTTTTTTTGAGACAGAGTCTCTCTCTATCCCCCAGCCTGGAGTTTAGTGGCACAATCTCAGCTCACTGCAACCTCCACCTCCTGGGTTCAAATGATTCTCCTGCCTCAGCCTCCTGAGTAGCTGGGATTACAGATGACTGCCACCACACTTGGCTAATTTTTGTATTTTAAGTAGAGACATGGTTTCACCATGTTGGCCAGGCTAGTCTTGAACTCCTGACCTCAGATGATCTGCCCACCTCAGCTTCCCAAAGTGCTGGGATTACAGGCATGAGCCACCATGCCTGGCCCAATATATGCTTACTTTTTTTTTTTTTTTTTTTTTTGAGATGAAGTCTCACTCTGTTGCACAAGCTGGAGTGCAGTGGCGAGATCTTGGCTCACTGTAACCTCCACCTCCCAGGTTCAAGCGATTTTCCTGCCTCAGCCTCCTGAGTAGGTGGGACTATAGGCACGCACCACCATGCCTGGCTAATTTTTGCATTTTTAGTATAGACGGGATTTCACCATGTTGACCAGGCTGGTCTTGAACTCCTGACCTCGTGATTCACCCACCTCCGCCTCCCAAAGTGCTGGGATTACAGGTGTGGGCCACCACGCCTGGCCTATATGCTTACTTTTAACAACATTAAATAACAAGGTGTAGCAGTGGATCCAAGGGCAGTTCAGGTAACGATTGAACTTTGAAGATCATGAGCAATATTCTGAGACACATGCAGCAACTATGATGTGATATGAAAATATCTGTGACTTCTATTAGTGACTGCTTTGTTGCCTGCATTCATAATTAAAGGAAATGCTAAATATCAGTTTTTGGTTATTCTTTTTTTTTTTTTTTTTTTTTTTGAGACAGAGTCTTGCTCTGTTGCCCAGGCTAGAGTACAGTGGCTCAATCTTAGCTCACCACAACCTCCGCCTCCCAGGTTCAAGAGATTCTCCTGCCTCAGCCTCCCGAGTAGCTGGGATTACAGGCGCGCACCACCATGCCTGGCTAATTTTGTATTTTTAGTAGAGGCGGGGTTTCTCCATGTTGGTCAGGCTGGTCTCTAACTCCTGACCTCAGGTGATCCGCCCGCCTTGGCCTCCCAAAGTGTTGGGATTACAGGCATGAGCCACCATGCCCGGCCATTAGAGATTTCTAAGTAGATGGCTGACACGATTTAACTTTAAAAGATTATCATTCTCTTCAACAAATAAATGGCATGGTGGGGAAAAAGAAGGAGGGAGACCTGGTGTGGATCAAAAGAGACTTCAGAGGCTTGCTGACCAAATGCAAGTGAGGACTTTGTTTCAGCCTGATTAAGACAAATCGGCCATAAAAAGGTGTCTTTGAGACAAACTGCATTTCGAGAAGAGGTATACATGCAAATGTGTAGATATAAGTTTCATTTCTCTTGGGTATATACCTAGGACTGGAATTCCTGGGTCATATGGTAACTCTATGTTTAATATTTTGAGGAACTGTCAAAGTGTTTTCCAAAGCGACAGCACCATCTGACATTCCCACCAACAATATATGAGGGTTCCGATTTCTCGACGTCCTCACCAACATTTCTTATTTCTGACTTTTTGATTTATGGCCATCCCAGTGGGTGTGAAGTGCTGTGTTGTGAATCTGATTTGCATCTCTCTGATGGCTAATGATGTTGAGAATCTTTTCATGTGCTCATTGGCCGTTTGTGTTTCTTCTTTGGAGAAATGCCTGTTCAAATCCTTTGGTCATTAAAAAAAAATCGTGTTTTTTTTTTAATTGTTGAGAAGGGCCTCATCTTTCAACAAGAATACTTCATAAATGAGACCAGCCTGGCCAACATGGTGGAACCTCATCTCTACTAAAAATACGAAAAACAGCCAGGTGTGGTGGCGTGCACCTGTAATCTCAGCTACTCAGGAGGCTGAGGCAGGAGAATCTCTTGAGCCTGGGAGGTGGAGGTTGCAGTAAGCCAAGATCGCGCCATTGCACTCAGCCTGGGAAACAGAGTGAGACTGAGACTTTGTCTCAAAAAAAACAAAAAAAAGAGAAGAATCCTTCATAAACGAAGCTGTATTTTTCACATTGGATAACATTAGCCGGCAAGTGATGTCTGGTTATTGCTTGGCTTGCCACGCTAAGATTAATACCTGGTGTTAAGGAGATTACAGCCAGATCATGCCTGTGAAGTTATATTTTTCCCCAGGTGAGCAGCAACTGAGCTACGGGGTGACACTCATTTTGGCCTTATCATCTATTTCCTGCCCACTAATCTTTCACCTAATGGTTTTAGCATCTATCGATGATCTTTGCCTGAAACAGTAATTAAATTAAAGTTTGCAGGATGATGTTTTATTTTATTTTGCTGGTTGCTTGTTTCTGTCATTCTTTCTGCATTTATTAGCTGGCATATTCTGTAAAGAGGTTTTCCTCATCAACCATGACTTTTGGGTAACACTGATATACTGTTCATTCTGGAAAGGCAGATAAATGCTGAACTCTTCTCCTGTAATTTTTTATGTTTAAGTTAAGGAATTTGTGTAATACAGTACTAGGCTCCAATTGCCACAGGTAAACTTCTGATATCTATATTCAGGTTGTTAAGGAGAAACATGTGTCTCCCCAGAGATTGGGGGTCTCACACCCCAAGGCCCTTGGTGTTGCATCCTCAAGGGCTACTTCTTTGATAGACACACCCGTAGTTAAAATTTAAAGAACCCAACAGATTTTTTTTTTTTTTGCCCAGTCTAATTTAGCCTGGGGGGTTTGTATATCAACTTTAGTGATACTAATGCTAATAAGTTCAGATAACCCACTACCATCGGAAAAGCCCCAACCATTTTTAAATGTTGGAAAGTAATCTCAGGTAGAAATTTTCTGCAGAAGAGAGGGGTAACTGATCCAAAGTCACTTGGACATTAACTGGATTAAGTTGAAAATATTGACTCATCTCTATTACCCTTATGTCAGAGGCATGTGAACTGAGCAATTCCATCTTGAACAGGCGCTGGGTAAAATGAGGCTGAGACCTACTGGACTGCATTCCCTGATGGTTAAGGCATTCTAAGTCAAAGGATGAGATAGGAGGTCAGCACAAGATACAGGTCATGAAGACCTTCCTGATAAAACAGGTTGCAGTAAAGAAGCCGGCCAAACCTATCAAAACCAAGACGGCGATGAGAGTGACCTCTGGTCATCCTCACTACTACACTCTCACCAGCACCATGACACTTTACAAATGCCATGGAAATGTCAGAAAGTTACCCTATATGGTCTAAAAAGGGGAGGCATGAATAATCCACCCCTTGTTTAGCATATCATCAAGAAATAGCCATGAAAATGGGCTACTAGCAGCCCTTGGGGCTGCTCTGTCTATGGAGTAACAATTCTTTTTTTTTTTTTTTTTTTTTGAGACTGAGTCTCACTCTGTCACCAGGCTGGAGTGCAGTGGCACGATGTCGGCTCACTGCAACCTCCACCTCCTGGGTTCAAGCAATTTTCCTACCTCAGCCTCCCAAGTAGCTGGGACTACAGGCACATGCCAACACGCCCAGCTAATTTTTGTATTTTTAGTAGAGACGGGGTTTCACCATGTTGGCCAGGATGGTCTCGATCTCTTGACCTCGTGATCCTCCCATCTCAGCCTCCCAAAGTGCTGGGATTACAGGCGTGAGCCACCACGCCCGGCTGCTGTTCTTTATTCCTTTACTTTCTTAATAAACTTGCTTTCACTTTATGGACTTGCCCTGAATTCTTTCTTGTGCAAGATCCAAGAACCCTTTCTGAGGGTCTGGATCGGGACCCCTTTCCAGTAATCCTTAGATTGTCCCTAAGCTTTATTTACTAATCCTTTTGTTTCTATTTCTATTTCATGCCAGAGTCATTTCTTCTGTGGGGTTAATGGGGATCACTTGCAATTTGGACTTGGAGTTCTGTTCTGGCACTTCTAGTGTTTGATCTTAGGCAAGTTATATAAACTAAAACTCATTTTTTCTCAAATGAAGAATGAAAATGGTATTAATCTTTACTAGGTTTAATGAGATAACTAAAGTAAAAATGCTTTGTAAACTGTAAAGCACCTTGCAAACGGATTAGGCTCCAGGTCCACTTGTGGGCTCTAGGCTGAAATTAATCAGTCTCCACCTTGATTGTGTCCCGGACTTGCCTATTTTCTGGACTTCCTTTTTGTGTTTTACTTTTTTTTGGACTCATTTTGTTTTCCAGCTTTTTGTAGCTACCCAGTCACTAACTTTGAAGCCATCCCAAAAAACATTGCAACTTGCATGACTTTTGCCCCCAGTGTCTCTAAACTAGGCAGCCAAGTGTAACAGAAAGAGCACGGGTTACGGACTCCAGCAAATGTGTGTTCCGTTCTTGGTTCTATCACTTACTGGCTGTGTGACATTAAAGCTAAATTAAAATCTCTCATCATTTCCTTGTCTGTTTCAAGTATGCGAAAAGAGGGATGGTTGTACTAAATGCCTGTCACATGAAATTTTAAAAGATAAAAAGAGCCTTAGTAAAGGACCTCAACATTAGGTGACAGCCCATGTTTGCTGCATTTCCACTCTTTATGTTAAATTATTTTAAGTTCCTGCTGCCTCTCACCCATGGAGTTTGCTTTTGCAAGTCTCACTGTCTTCTCAGTACAGCGATTTGTATTTGTAAAAGGACCCTGTTTGTTTCTTATTTGTTTCTACCTCAAGTATTCTCTAAACACACATGTTTTGGAGAAGGCTCCCCCTAGACTATTGCAGAAAGCAGCCTGTTACTAGGCTCATCTAAGCCCCCGGCCAAGTGGCTGTTGTTTCACTTTTTCAGGGAGTATTTGGACATAAGAAATCTAACATAAATTTTAAATTTATTGAGCATCTGCATATAGACTTTCTCCGGTGATTCATGCTATCTGAAAGTTCACGTTAAAGATGAAATGAGACAGGAAGTGCTTTCTAAGATGGGAAACACCCTCCCATTATAAGTTAGGTGCTCTGTCCATCCCCTTCTTGTCAGTTGGGTTGAAACAATTGTACATAAGTGGTTCCAGCTGTTACCCATGTGGTGCTTGGCATTTTCACCCTGGGTTTTTTTGTGATCTAATTGACATGCTCTGCCCTAGGGCAGCTGGATGAAAAGCCGTATTGTTTGTTGTGTTTCTTGGGGTGAGTGGGAAGACATGGTTCTGTAAAGGGGCATTTAGTTTTACTAGCCACATAGTGAGCTGAAGTTTAACTTTGCTAAAGGAACTTTTTCTCAGTGTGAACTGATGTTGTAAGCAGTATTTCAGGGAAATATTTACATTGCTCAACATGCTGGAAATAGCTGTTTTTCAGTAAACAAGTTTTTACTCCTTAATGCAAATTCACAAAGAACCTCACCTAGGCAATATTTGGTTACCTTAAGTTACCTTAAGATGATAATATTACATTATTATCATCAGCAGCACTCTCAGTGATTCAGATGGGCTTTCTCAGAAATGCATTCACCCCATGAGGGTTTTGCGATATGATCAATACAGCAAGGAACGTGCTGCTGCCATTGGGAGTCAGGATCCCTAAGTGAGGGGTCAAGATGCCAATTGCAAACTTAGAGAGAGGGGCAGACAGAAAGAAACATGTGATAAACCCTGGTTGGGAGGTCAGAAAGCCTTCACAAGGGAAAATAAGACTTTGCCAAGCACATGAGCTGAGAATTATCAAGAAGGTTTTTTGAGGAGGTTTTCTTTTTCTTTTTTTCTTTTCTTTTCTTTTTTTTCCTTTCCTTTCTCTCTCTCTCTTTTTCTTTCTTTCTTTCCGTCTTTCTTTCTTTCCTTCTTTCTTTCAGTCTTACTCTGTTGCCCAGGCTGGAGTGCAGTGGCGAGATTTCGGCTCACTGCACCCTCAGCCTCCTGAGTAGCTGGGATTACAGGTGTGCATGACCACGCCCGGCTAATTTTTGTAATTTTAGTAGAGACAGAGTTTCAGCATGTTGGCCAGGCTGGGCTCAAACTCCCGACCTCAGGTGATCCGCCCGCCTCAGCCTCCCAAAGTGCTGGGATTACAGGTGTGAGCCACCACGCCCAGCTGAGGAGGTTTTCAAGAAGGAGGGAATCATAGATCCAAAAGCATGTAGTGTTAACTAGGAGAGACACCATGGAGAGTTTGGAGAATTAAAAGCAATCTAAAATTTTTTTCTGGCACATTTCTCCTCTAGCCTTTTACTCACCAACATTCATAAAAACTAAAGTGCGATCCCATAATCCATGTACTTTTTTGAGATGGATTCTCTCTCTGTCTCCCAGGCCGGAGTGCAGTGGCACAGTCTCAGCTCACTGCAGGCTCCACCTCCCGGGTTCAAGCGATTCTCCTGCCTCAGCCTCCTGAGTAGCTGGGATTACAGGCACCCACCACCACGCCTGGCTAATTTTTGTATTTTTAGTAGAGACGGGATTTCACCATATTGGTCAGGCTGGCCTCAAACTCCTGACCTCAGGTGATCCACCTGCCTTGGCCTCCCAAAGTGCTGGGATTATAGGCATGAGCCATCGTGTACTTTTTAAACTAGTACAAATGTAGTGAACAGAAAGTGATACTGGTAACTGCCGTGCAATACTTACGCTTCATGTTTTTGTTTTTTTTTTTCCTGGACTCAGGGCACTGTATGGGGTGCCTCAGGCTCTGTAACTTTTGATTAGTTTTAATTACAAAATCTGCTTTTACCAGCACCACCTTCTGCTCATTAATGTGGTCTAATGTGCCCAGTGCAACTAACACTCCTGTGTCCCTGGGAGGGGAGTGGCAGTGGTAGGAAAGTCTGGGGAAGGAAGAAATTCAAAGACCATGAAGGGTGGACGTAGAGAGTGGAATGGTGGTTACCAGAGGCTGGGAAGGGTAGGGTATGGGACGAAAAGAGGTTGGTTAATGGGTACAAACATACAGTTCGATAGAAGGAATAAGTTCTAGTGTTTGGTAGCAGAGTAGAGTGACTATAGTTAACCAATATTGTATATTTCAAAATAGTTAGAAAAGAAGATTTGAAATGTTCCCAATGCAAAGAAAGATAAATGTTTGAGACGGTGAATTTCCTAATTATCCTGATTTGATCATTACACATTGTATGTATGCATGTATCAAAATATATACTCCACGTGTACCCCATAAATATGTACAAATATGATGCATCAATACAAATAAAATAATAAAGTGGGTCTTCACGAACACAAAAAGACAGTGAAGGAGTCCCTCTTCTTAATTTTTGCTTTTGTTGCTTGTGCTTTTGGTGTCATGTCCAAAATGTAATTGTCAAGATCAATATCAAGGAGTTTTTCCTTATTGTTTTCTTCTAGGAGTTTTATAGTTTCAGGTTTTACATTTAATTCTTCAATCCATTGCGAGTTAATTTCTATGAGTGCTATAAAATAGGGGTCCATTTTCATTCTTTTGCAGGAGGATATCCAATTTTCCCAGCACTGTTTATTGGAGAGACTACCTTGTCTCATTGTGTGTTCTTGGTGGCCCTGTCAAACACTAGTTGACCGTAAATGTGTGGGTTCACCTCTAGGCTCTCAGTTCTGTCCCGTTGATCTATCACGGCTATCTGTAATAGCTTTGCTAACCAACTTGATTGTGCTATTCATTTCACAACATATACCTGTATCAAATCGCGTTGTACACCCTAAACTTATACACTTTTGTTTATCAGTTATACCTCAATAAACCTGGAAAAACAAAACCAAATAAAAACAAGGACAATGAGCCACAGGCCCTACTGACAGAGAACGTTAGTCTTGGCTTATCTATTAGAGCCATTTGCCTTTCTTTGCTGAACTTCAGATCAATCAGGTTTGTTGTATGTTTTTTTTTTCTATTTTTATTTTTTGAGATGGAGTCTCACTCTGTTACCCAGGCTGGAGTGCAGTGGCGTGATCTTGACTCACTGCAACCTCCACCCCCCGGATTCAAGTGATTCTCATGCCTCAGCCTCCCCAGTGGCTAGAATTACAGGTGTGATTAGCCACTGCACCAGACCTGTTATATGTTTTTAAAAAATAAACTTTTATTATGAAAAATTTCAAATATACTCAAAAATATAATGAACTCCCATGTATCCATTACCAGCTCCAACAAGTACCAATTTGAGACTAATCTTCTTTCATTGATGTCCTCACTTATTCCTAATGTTCCCTCCCCATCCCCAAACTGAATTATTATTATTATTATTATTATTTTTGAGATGGAGTCTTGCTCTGTCGCCCAGGTTGGAGTGCAGTGGTGTGGTCTTGGCTTACTGCAAGCTCCACCTCCCGGGTTCCCGCCATTCTCCTGCCTCAGCCTCCCGAGTAGCTGGGACTACAGACACCCGCCACCACGCCCGGCTAATTTTTTGTATTTTTAGTAGAGACGGGGTTTCACCGTGTTACCCAGGATGGTCTCGATCTCCTGACCTCGTGATCCACCCACCTCGGCCTCCCAAAGTGCTGGGATTACAGGCGTGAGCCACCGCACGCGGCCCTGAATTATTTTTAAGCAAATCCCAAATATTTTATCGTTTTGTAAATGTTTCAGATGTGCCTCAGAAGAAAAGACTCTTTAGGCCGAGCACAGTGGCTCATACCTGTAATCCCAGCACTTTGGGAGGCTGAGGCGGGCGGATAGCTTGAGCTCAGGAGTTCCAGACTAGCCTGGCCAACATGGTGAAACCCTGTGTCCACTAAAAATATACAAATTAGCCAGATGTGGTGGCACACACCTGTAGTCCCAGCTACTCGGGAGGCTGAGGCAGGAGAATTGCTTGAATCCAGGAGATAGAGGTTGCAGTGAGCCGAGACTGCACCACTGCACTCCAGCCTGGGTGACAGAGCGAGACTCTGTCTCAAAAAAAAAAATTCTTTAAAAAAACAAAATAGTAAAATCATGATCATACTTTAAGAAATGATAATAATTCCTTAATATTGTCCAATATGCAAATGGTTTCATGAAATGTTTTATTTTGCTTTTCAGGTGATTGGTTTAAATCAGGGCCCAGACAAAGCCCACACATTACATTTGGTAGATGTGTCTCTTAGGACTTTTGTTTTGAGATGGAGTTTTGCTCTTGTAGCCCAGTATGGAGTGCAATGACGCAGTCTCGGCTCACTGTAACCTCCACCTCCCAGGTTCAAGCGATTCTCCTGCCTCAGCCTCCCAAGTAGCTGGGATTACAGGCACCTGCTACCTCACCCAGCTAATTTTTGTATTTTTAGTAGACACAGGGTTTCACCATGTTGGCCGGGCTGCTCTCAAACTCCTGACCACAGGTGATCTGCCAGCCTTTGCCTCCCAAAATACTGGGATTATAGGAGCAAGCCACCTCGCCTAGCCATCTCTTAGAATTTTTAAAATCTATAGGTCCTCCCCTAACCCCAGCTCTTTTTTTTCTTTAAAATTTATTTGTTCAAGAAACTAGATATTTCTCCATTTTAGTGCTTTATATTCTGGATTTTGCTGATTGCATCCCATTGTGTCCATTAGCATGTTCTTCTGTCTCCTGTATTTCCTGTAAACTGGCAGTTAGATCTGGAGACATGACTGAATTCAAGTTATGCACTTTTTATTTATTTTATTTTAGTAATTGGCATTTTACTCCAGTGGCAAGAACGGCAGTAATGCACAGTTCTCTGACCCTTCATATCACTTACAACTGAGCTCACCCTCAGGCCTTATTTCTAAAATAACCTGGGTGCACAGGTCTTATCCTGCTTTGAACCTGCCTGTCCCCTATATTGGAGGAAGTCAGGAAGTGGGGAGACTCATATGTATCAGACCATGTGTAAGCTCTGGAACTACTGTGGTGACCAAGACAAATGGAGTCCCTGACCGTGAAGAAATGACCACATAGTGGGGAGAGAAGCCAGAACCTACAAATAGGCAGGAAGAAGACATATCAGGGGCTGGGGGTGTGAGGGAAGGGAAAAAAGAGTGAGTGGAAGGAGCTTCCACTGGAGGGGATGCCAGGAAGCTCTCTGAGAAGGCACTGTTTCAGCTGAGGAATAAGGATAAGAAGGGACAGTCATGTGACTAACGAGGTGGTGGGGTTGGGCGGGGGCGTGCTGTTGGTAGCTGAGATGGAGAAAGTGCCATATACAGTAGCTTCTCACTTAACATTGTGGATAGGTTCTTGGATACTGTGGCTTCAAGCTAAACATGCATAACTAAACCGATTTGACTGTCGGGTAATTGACAGAAACAACATTTAAGTTCCTATGGCTTATTTCTGGTCAGAAACACATCACCAAACTTCCCATGAAGCCCAAAACACTTCTAGTATTAAACATTGAAATAAATAAATGTGAGCTCTACATACATTTAAGATGAATAAAAACAACCAAGATATTATTTACCCAATTTTTGATGAATCAGTGAATAATGGAGGTCATGATGGTAGTGGGTTCAATCAGGGAAGAAATGTTTGCAAAGCAACATTGTCAACACTTCTGACCCACGAAGTTCAAAAACAAACAATCACAAATCCGGCAGCTTGCCGAGTACTTTTGTTGGTGTATAATTCATTGGTGCATAATTTATTGGTGTGATTACTCGTACTTGATACATTTTCATTCTGTGATCATTTGTATTCATTCATTCATTCATTCATTCATTTTCCAGCTGCTTATTCCAGTTCAGAGAGGAGGGTGGCCAGAGCCCATCCCAGCAGCTCAGTGTGCCAGGCAGGAGCCACCCTGGACAGGTTGCTGTCCTATCACAAGGGGGCTCCCACACACCCACACTCACTCACAGTCGGACAGTTTAGACATGCCAGTTCACCCGACTTTGGCATAGCTTTGGGATGTGGAAGGAAACCAGAGTACTCAGAGAAAAGCCATGCAGACATGGGGAGAACACGGACACCCCACACAGACGGTGGCTCCAGCAGGGAATAGATTTTTTTTTTCTCATCAACGTTATAACAAAACAACGTTGAATGCAATGAAGTTATTTGAGGACCTGCTGTAGTTGGAGACAGGACATGCAGCGTGGGTGGTGAGAAAGAGGAAGGAACCAGGACCCACTTCCAGGTTTCCTGGCTTCACCAACTGAGCGAATATTGGTGATGGCCTGGGCATCAGTGGTCACATGGGCCCGAGGACTCCCCGGCCCAGTGCCCTTGGGGATTGTGCCTGAGTCTGTGCCTCCTCCTGCCTGAGTGCCTGTGTCCTTTCCCTTTTTGCTCCCTGCCCTTCTGCTGTTGAATTGTCCAATGGTACTTTCAAAAGATGGAGAAAAGGAACAAGGCTGATAGGAGCATCGTGCATTTGACAGACTTTGCAAAATGAGACTTGCACCCAAGTGGACGGGAATATTTTTCATCAACTTTGCTATTAACTGTTACTTCCAGGAAAATGAAGTTTACAAGGGAGAAGTTTAAAGCTAAGAATCCAGTGAAACTTCTGGCTGTTCTGCACATTACATTTATCTTTGAAGTCATCCTTCTTCATTATCACAGACGATCGAGCTGAATGTTCAGTAAAATTAGCTGAAAAATAATTTTCCAATGCAAATACTAATGAGGGTTATATGACCGTTGTCCAAAGCATTTGCAGTGCTGCATGACATTTGTCCTAAAACCTGACTCTTAAAACATTCCTTGTGAAAATAGAAATATTCCCATGCCTAGATTCCAAATAATAAAAGACACTGAGAGTGTTTTCAAAATTAATGGACTGATTTAAATTTCACTGGAAAGCAGCTTTTTAAAACTAAATTGTCTGGATGTGGCCTCCCTGTGATCACTTCCAACTGCTTACTGCCAACTTCTGGCGGCTCGAGAGAGTGAGCCGTTTCCCACGCTCCCACACGGCAGCTCCCTGGGATGCTTGTGCTGGGAGATGTTTGGGTCCCTGGAAGGGAGACAGAGGGACCGGCTGGAAGAAGCCCCGTGTCTGACTCCCTTCTCCACAGCCTGCCAGTATCTTCTAGAAAAGCCTTGCTGGTGCCGGGTGATGATGGAAAATATGTCACCCAAAGAGTTAATAGCCCATAACATGTGGTTAAAAGAGAAAGTTTTGTTAAGTCTGCATTTCACTCCCAGAGCCCTGGTTCCAATCCTCACCTGGGTGCCAATCGGTTCTGCACATTGAACCTTTTTATTAATAGCAAGTTTTTGGCATGTTTAGAGTTTGGTCTTTAGTTCCTCTCTTTTTTTCTGCCCCTGCACTCTCCTCTAGTAATGAAGTGTGAAGTGACTGAGGGATAAGACTCTGGGAGGAGGAGGAGGGAGGGGAGGGGGAGGGGCAGGGGGAGGGGGAGGGAAATAAGTGGCCTGGAAAATCCACTGGCCTTCTAACAACTGAGGGTTGCTATTCTGGATTCGTGTTTTTCCAATCTGCAGCCCTTAAAGAGCAAAATAAAGTGCCATTTGCAAAATCTCTCCCTTTTGATTAGGGAATCTTCTTCTTTCTCTCTTTTTTTTTCGAGACACTCTTGCTCTGTTGCCTAGGCTGGAGTGCATCATCAGTGCAATCTCGGCTCACTGCAGCCTCTGCCTCTTGGGCTCAAGCAATTCTCCTGCCTCAGTCTCCCAAGTAGCTGGGACTGCAGGCACTTGCCACCATGCCCAGCTAATTTTTTTTTTGTATTTTTAGTAGAGACGGGGTTTTGCCATATGGGCCAGGCTGGTCTCGAACTCCTGGCCTCAAATGATCCACCCACCTCCGCTTCCCAAAGTGTTGGGATTACAGGCGTGAGCCTCTGCACCCAGCTAGGGGATTTTTTTCTTTCAATTCACAGATTATCTAAGGAAAACTATCACTGGCTTGGTCTTCCATGTCATCAGTGGATTGTGCACTAACAAGAAAGTGAGAGGGTGTTAGACTTCACTGGTGAGCCTGAGTGCCCCCACTCCAAGGGGCTGTTTGCCACAGTATCTCAGGGGCCCTCTTCCCATTTTCTCAAGGAGCATGGGTTTTAGCTGAGTAAGAACAGTGATATCTTTTTTTTTTTTTTGAAATGGAATTTCTCTCTTGTTGCCCAGGCTGGAGTGCAATGTGCAGTCTTGGCTCACTGCAATCCCCACCTCCCAGGCTCAAGCGATTCTCCTGCCTCAGCCTCCTGAGTAGCTGGGATTATAGGCGTGCACCACCATGTCCGGCTAATTTTGTATTTTTATTAGAGACAGGGTTTCACCATGTTGGTCAGGCTGGTCTCGAACTCCTGACCTCAGGTGATCCACCCGCCTCAGCCTCCCAAAATGCTGGGATTACAGGCGTGAGCCACCACACCTGGCCAGTGATATCTTTTAATAAGCAGTTATAACTGATTTCAAGAAGGCAATTCATGAAGTAATTAAAAGGACTGATTTTGGAAAAGGACCAATTTTGGAGTCGGACTCCGTGGGTTCAAATCCCAGTGTTGCCACTTATTCCTTGGTAACTTTGGACACATTGATGAATTTGCCTAATTTTCCCCATCAGAAAAATATAGATATTAGTAGTACTTAGTCTTTTTTTTTTTTTTTTCCCCTGAGATGAAGTCTTGCTCTGTTGCCCAGGCTGGAATGCAGTGGTGCAATCTTGGCTCATTGCAACCTCCGCTTCCTGGGTTCAAGTGATTCTCCTGCCTCAGCCGCCCGAGTAGCTGGGATTTGGTGCCCGCCATCACGCCCGGCTAATTTTTGAATTTTTAGTAGAGATGGTGTTTCACCATGTTGGCCAGGCTGGTCTTAAACTCCTGACCTCGCGATCTGCCCACCTCGGCCTCCCAAAGTGCTGAGATTACAGGTGTGAGCCACCACGCCCGGCCAGTAGTACCTAGTCTTAAGAGGTTCTTCTGAGCATTAGACATTAGTAAAAATGCCTGGAATATGGTGAGTATTCAGTAAATATTAGCTATTATCCTGACACATTAAACTTTAAAATAATTAGTGATACCATAATGCCCCATACAGATTTGCTTCTTGATGCTATATTGTGTCATCATCTCTTTGTGTCAGTCCTTTCCCTTATCCTTCTGGATTGTGGATTTCTTAAAAGGTGGGGGCTGGACCTTAACCATTTTTCTTTTCTTTCTTTTTCTTTTTTGAGACAAGGGTTCACCCTGTCACCCAGGCTGGAGTGCACTGGCGTGATCATGGCTCACTGCAGCTTTGACCTCCCGGGGCTTAAGCCATCCTCCCAGCTCAGCCTCCCAAGTAGCTGGAACTACAGGCCCGAGCTACCAAGCCTGGCTAATTTTTGGTATTTTTGTGTAGAGATGGGATCTCACTTTGATGCCCAGGCTCCTAACCATGTTTGTACGCACACCAATTAGCAGTCCTGGTAGGGAGTGATTACTCCCTTTTTCGAGTAAATTCACTAGGATTTGAATAATGACTCCTGTTCTCTTTCCACACAGCCCATTTTGCCTAGAAATGAATGCTGGGGTATGCGGTTCAGGCTCGTATCTTTCTCAGATTCTGTTGTATTCTACACAGCATGGGTACAGCTGACAGTATTCTAGGAGTGGGTGCTCAGTCTTACTGAGAAAGGACCCGTTTCTGCATTCCTTTTAACCACACTTGGTTTTGTACAGGTCACCACAAATGGCATCATTGCTACGAGTGAACCCCCGGCCAAAGAATCCCATCCCGGGCTCTTCCCACCAACATTCGGTGCAGTCGCCCCTTTCCTGGCGGACTTGGACACGACCGATGGCCTGGGGAAGGTTTATTATCGAGAAGACTTATCCCCCTCCATCACTCAGCGAGCAGCAGAGTGTGTCCACAGAGGGTTCCCGGAGATCTCTTTCCAGCCTAGTAGCGCGGTGGTTGTCACTTGGGAATCCGTGGCCCCCTACCAAGGGCCCAGCAGGGACCCAGACCAGAAAGGCAAGGTAAGCTCCCCTCCAGGTCCAAGTGCAGGTAATCAGACACATTGGCTTCATACACTTTGGTCTCACGCCTTGTGCTGCTTTGACATAAGTTATACACCATTGATAAAGACAGGAAATCCAAAGCAAAATCTAGTAGGCTGGTTATTGCAGGTCCCAAACCTCCAAAAGCTTATCTGCAAGGTTGTATAACTCTACGTTTTAATGACAAGTAGACATAAAGCAAAGCAATTCCTGGTAAGACTGCTATGTGGCAAAAATAGGGTTGATAAATGGCATCCCCTGGCTGCTCTTACCTCAGGTGGCAGATAGTGGAAGGATAATTTATTTATTTATTTATTTATTTTTCTTTTTTTTTGAGATGGAGTCTCGCTCTGTCGCCCAGGCTGGAGTGCAGTGGCACGATCTTGGCTCACTGCAAGCTTCGCCTCCCCGGTTCACACCATTCTCCTGTCTCAGCCTCCCGAGTAGCTGGGACTACAGGCGACCACCACCACGCCCGGCTGGTTTTTTTTGTATTTTTAGTAGAGACAGGGTTTCACCATGTTAGCCAGGATGGTCTCTATCTCTTGATCTCGTGATCCACCCTTCTCAGCCTCCCAAAGTGCTGGGATTACAGGCGTGAGCCACCATGCCCGGCCTTTTTTTTTTTTTTTTTTTTTTTTTTGAGATGGAGTCTTGCTCTGTTGCCCAGGCTGGAGTACAGTGGCACAATCTCAGCTCTCTGCAGCCTCCACCTCCCAGGTTCAAGCAATTATTGTGCCTCAGCCTCCCGAGTAGCTGGGATTACAGGCATGGGCCACCACACTGGCTAATTTTTGTATTTTTAGTAGAGATGGGGTTTCACCACATTGGCCAGGCTGGTCTCCAACTGCTGACCTCAAATGATCCACCCACCTCAGCCTCCCAAAGTGCTGGGATTACAGGTGTGTGCCACCGAGCCCGGCTGGAAGGATAGTTTCTGACTAGAGAAATTATTAATATGAAACGATAGGTTAAAATAACAAAGTACTCCTGAGGGATGCAAAGATAGAAAGGTAAAGCCCAGACTCTAGTTGGGGAGACAAGAATCATTTGGACCATGTGAGTGGTTCAAAACCCAAGTATTGTCATAACCCAGGGTTGGCCTCTCCGTGGGCGCAGTCATCAGGGACGGCTGGAAGGACCAGGCTGTAGAGCACGGACTTGCCCTTGAAGGAAGCAGGGTCTTTGAGTAGGTCAGGAACTCGTTGTTAGACCTGAAGTGACTTTTTAGGACAGGCCTCGATTTTCCCTTGGAAAAATAATTTCTCTCTACCATAACTTCACCTTTATAGGAAAATGAGGAAGAAAGAAACTTGAAGGGTCCCAAAGCACTTCATATAAATGGGAGGTATTTCAGGCTGGTGGTTCCTAAAGTGTGTACCACAAAACACCAGTCCTACAAGATACACCTTGAGGAAAAGGCCTTCTAGTTTGGGAAATGCTAAAACTATATCTCCCTCTTGGTGATTCACCCTGTTCACTCTGAAAAGTCCTGCAGTCAGGAAACTTGCAACTTGCCTAATACTACTTTTTTTGTTTTTGTTTTTGTTTTTGTTTTGAGACAGAGTCTTGCTCTGTCACCCAGGCTGGAGTGCAGTGGTGCCATCTTGGCTCATTGCAATCTCCACCTCCTGGGTTCAAGTGATTCTCCTGCCTCAGCCTCCCAGGTAGCTGGGACTAAGGGCGTGAGCCACCATTCCAGCCTTGCCGAATATTGTTTAACTGAGCAGTCTCCAAACCTGTGACCATACCTCTTCCCTTCCCCCGCTCCAAAAAAGATGCATTACATCCCACAGAGCACACTTTGGGAAAGTCTGTTAGGGGCCTGCATGACACATTTTGCTTGCCAACTGTTATCTGTCTGAGTGCCAAACTTGAAAACAGCTTAAATGTTAAGTGTCTCAGCTGCCTCCCTTTCACTTGGGTGATAAATGCCTAACCCATTGGTATGGATCCCTTGCTTGCCTCTTGGGCCTAATCTGTTCCACCTCCGCATACCCTTTGCAGCCGCTATACCAAATTACATGTAATTCCCTGACCTTGCCCTTGCTCTTTTTTTTTTATCCGCAGTATCTTGCACAGGCTGTCCTCTCTGTTTGGGACGTCCTCTCCCTGACCCCCCTACAGGTGGCAGCTTCCTCCTGCTTGTTCATTCAGACTGGGCCCTCCCGTGAGGCCTTGACCAACCACAGCCTCCTGGCATGGGATGCACTCCCACCGCTCCTGGCATGGGACGCTTCCTCTTACGGCTCCTGCAGCGCTTTGCAAATGTTTCGATTACAGAATCCAACCTCAGGTTTTGCAATGTTTTCTTCACATGTCAGCCTTCCCAAAGTGCTGGGATTACAGGCATGAGCCACCGCGCCCGGCATGTGCCTGCTCTTTCATACGTGACCTCATGTAGTCTTCCTCATTTCTGTGAAGGAGGTGGTTTTATCTCCATTTTACAGATGCAAACATCGAGGCTTAGGGAACTCAAGTATCACGCCCAAGTCACATAATAATGAGTAGAGCAAAGATTTGGATCCAGGTCTGTTTTCTCCCAAATCTCATGTTTTGTTTTGTTTTTTCTACTGTACGGTGCTTGGGTTCAATAAATGTTTGTTAAACGATGAATGCGGTTGAATATGTTAACAGCCATGGAAACAAAGTCTTTGGGTAAGAATTTCCTAAACTGCGTGAGATTTTAGGCCACCATCTGGAGGTACCATCTGTATAATTTTTGGTTAACCTTAGGGCCACAGTTATGCAGAAGATATTTATGAATTAATCAGAAAATGTCATGTTGACATAGCCTTAGGGATATTTCAGTGGAACTATCCCAGAATCCTAGGTTCTTGCTACAAAAGTCCTTCTTTTAGAATAAGGTGAGAATATTGCCATCGCTCTATAGCACTGTACGCTTTATAGATAGTCTGGCGAATAACACATTTTAAAATCTATCGATATTTTTCCGAGTAACTGAATTTTAACTCATCTTCACAGAGAAACACGTTCCAGGCTGTTCTAGCCTCCTCTGATTCCAGCTCCTATGCCATTTTCCTTTATCCTGAGGATGGTCTGCAGTTCCATACGACATTCTCAAAGAAGGAAAACAACCAAGTTCCTGCCGTGGTTGCATTCAGTCAAGGTTCAGTGGGATTCTTATGGAAGAGCAACGGAGCTTATAACATATTTGCTAATGACAGGGAATCAGTTGAAAATTTGGCCAAGTATGCTTTCTTTGTTCTTCAGTAGATTCTCCTCTTAATATTTTTTAATGTGGATAATGTAATGTGTATTATAGATCATTACCTAAAAATGTTCCTATGGATTTAAGTTTTGCATATAGTTTTTATATTATGAGATACTCTTTTTCTGATGAACTTAAGGAAATGTATTTTTAGAATGAACAGATATCCTATTTTTTAGATATCATCCTCATTTAAAATAGTTCTTTTTTTTTTTTTTTTTTTTTTTTTTGAGACAGAGCCTTACTCTGTTGCCCAAGCTGGAAGGCTGGAGTGCAATGGCACAATCTCGACTCACTGCAACCTCTGCCTCCCAGGTTCAAGTGATTCTCTCGCCTCAGCTTCCCAAGTAGCTGGGATTACAGGTGTGTGCCACCATGCCCAGCTAATTCTTGTATTTTTAGTAGAGACGGGGTTTCACCATGTTGGCCAGGCTGGTCTTGAACTCCTGCCCTCGGGTGATCTGCCCACCTCAGCCTCCCAAAGTGCTGGGATTACAGGCATGAAGTGCCGCGCCCGGCCTTAAGACAGTTTTTACCATTTTGTCTATAAACACTGTTAGAAATAAGGGTTATTCAAACCTATCTCCTTTGATCTCAAGGCTGAGAAAACCTTTTCCTTCACATTGACTAGGGGGAATATTCTTACAACAGAAATGGTGCTCTCAGGTTATGTTGTAGAATTTGACAAAAGAGGGAAAAGCCCAAATTGGATTTTGAAGATTAAAACCTTTCCTCTCCCATTATTCTTTAAAAACCAAGAGTGAATCCCCTAAAACCACCTTTTAATTTTATATCTTCAAATCTAGCTTGAATTCCTCTGCCCTTCACTTAGTGATGTGCTGGTAAATGCTTAACAACTGGTTTTATGAGGGCAGAGGAACCTGATTTATAGCGTTTGCCTGTTTCTGTGATGTAAATACTCCTACGATGGCCAAGTTCAAGTTATTAACGTCATGTCACTCATTGAAGAGTTCAGAAAACATGCACCATTATATATATTCTCACCATAAAGATAAAATAGGTTTAATATATATAATTTCAAGAGCATGGACAGTAGCAAAAGGATTAGAATATGATGAGTTTTGAATATTTTTTCCTTTTAAAAAATATAACTTGTTTAATTGGAAGTTCATGTAATTTAATTGTTTAGAATGGCTGTGTTTAATAACTGGCTTGCAAAATTCCTAAAACTTTAACAGCCAGCTCTCACAAGCTAGTCCATATAAGCTCCCACACACCACTGTCTTTACTTGAATCCCAGGCAGACAAATTGATTAGACATCCTATTTATGCAGGACTTTTGTGATTTATCATCCCCACCCCACCCCATTGTTTTGCTCAGTATTTTCCACTGAGTAATGTATGTCCCCTCTGTCCACCGTATAATATAATTATTTCATGTAATTTCTGATAGGAGCACTTCCAATCACAGACACAGAAGAATGGTAAAAATGGTGGAGGAAGAAGTAGAGATTAGGGATATTCTACTATATTTTATAGTTATAAAATGCTTTTGGATTTTGTATCTCATTTGCTTTTCACCATATCCTTTAAGCACCAAAGGTAAACTGAGACTAGTCCAAGATCTCACAGCCAATGGAGTTGGGATTTCTTTTTTTGTTGTTTTTGTTGTTGTTTTGAGATGGAGTCTTGCTCTGTCGCCCAGGCTGGAGTGCAGTGGCACGATCTTGGCTCACTGCAAGCTCTGCCTCCCGGGTTCACGCCATTCTCCTGCTTCAGCGTCCCGAGCAGCTGGGACTACAGGCGCCCACCACCACGCCCAGCTAATTTTTTGTATTTTTAGTAGAGACGGGGTTTCACCATGTTAGCCAGGATGGTCTCGATCTCCTGACCTCATGATCTGCCCTCCTCAGCCCCCCAAAGTGCTGGGATTACAGGTGTGAGCCACCGCGCCCGGCCCTGGAGTTGGGATTTCTAAAAAACCACGTCTGCAATGTTTTCACTCACACTTCTGACACCAAATGGGTGGGGTTTTTTTTCCCACACCAACCAATTCTCTGCACACCAGCCGGGTGTCCTACACTTCAGTTCAATTCTAGCACTGGCGTTACTGCAGACCCCACAGGTTAAGGGCTCAGTCCCACAGGACTGCCCCCACTTCAGATGCCAGTCCCAAGTCCTGTGTTTCCACCTGTACTTCTGACCAACCAGCTATAAATGGAGGGTTTCCATGGCATGCTCCTCAGATTTGATAATTTGCTAGAATGGCTCACATAACACAGAAAAATGCTTCACTATTACCAGTTCATTCTAAAGGATACAACTCTGGAACAACCAAATGGAAGAGAGGCATAGGACAAGGTATGGGTAAGGGGGCAGGGTTTCTATGCCGTCTCTGAGTACACCAGCCTTCCCGCACCTTGATGTGTTCAACCCAGAAGCTCTCTGAACCCCATCATTTTAGGGTTTTTATGGTGGTGTTATTTCATAGGCACAGTTGATTAAATCACTGATCCTTGGTGATTGACTCAATCTCCAGCCCATCTCCCCTCCCTGGAGGCAGTGGGGAAAGCTGGACATTCCAACCTTCTAATCATGCCTTGGTCTTTCTGGCCACCAGCCCCCATCCTGAAACTGTCTAGGAGCTCCCAGCCATCAGTCAACTCATTAGCCTACAAAAGACACTCTTATCACTTCAGAAATTCCAAAGGCTGTAGGAGCTCTTGTTTCAGAATGTGAGGACAGAGACCAAACATGTATTTTCAATTGTATCATACCATGTCATGGAAAGAGATAGTGGAGAGCATGAATGACTTCAGTCCTAAAGCCACTGTCAGTCCTATGAGCCACCTTAGCTCATAAGGTAGAGCATGTAACCAGCAATTAGGATGAGCAAGTTGAATTTTAAGTCCTGATAGTGTCCCTGGAGCACACTTCTGGAATGGCTGGGACTGAGCTTGTGCTAGTATTGTGCCCATTTGGACACAGTCTCACCAGACAGCCCTAGACTGCCTCAGCCACATGACGCCCAGACATGACGGCCAGTGCCCTTCCACTCTCCAGTCCTAGCTGCAGGTGATGGCTTGCAGACCAACACAGATCCTCAGGGCTCCCTCTGCTTGGGTAGTGGTGGCTGTTGGTGGGTTGCTGGCCTGTTTCTAAGAAGCCTGTCCTTCCTCCTAGGAGTAGTAACTCTGGGCAGCAGGGTGTCTGGGTGTTTGAGATTGGGAGTCCAGCCACCACCAATGGCGTGGTGCCTGCAGACGTGATCCTCGGAACTGAAGATGGGGCAGAGTATGATGATGAGGATGAAGATTATGACCTGGCGACCACTCGTCTGGGCCTGGAGGATGTGGGCACCACGCCCTTCTCCTACAAGGCTCTGAGAAGGGGAGGTGCTGACACATACAGTGTGCCCAGCGTCCTCTCCCCGCGCCGGGCAGCTACCGAAAGGCCCCTTGGACCTCCCACAGAGAGAACCAGGTCTTTCCAGTTGGCAGTGGAGACTTTTCACCAGCAGCACCCTCAGGTCATAGATGTGGATGAAGTTGAGGAAACAGGAGTTGGTAAGACCATTTAAGTTGCAGTTGGTAACGATCTTGGATGTGTGGGCTTCCAGACAGGCGTACTGCTGGGGAGATGTCAGTTGTGAGCATTACATGGTGGTTTGTAAAGATAAGAGCTTGGGAAAGTAGAGGCTGAACTCTCACAGCCGTGGAGCCTTGGTGTTATATGCCCAGTGGCTTCAGAGATGCTCAGTGATCTTTTGGGATTAGGACCATGGTTTTGGAGACTGTTGAGTGTGTCTTCTTTCAAGTTTCCTAGTATTCCGTTCTGTCTGTTTTAAAGAGAAAACGTCCGTTAGAATTGTTTTGAAAGTCAGATTTTCTTGTGATTTCTCAGATCAGAAATGTATTCATCCACCTGAAAAAACATTTTAGAAGTTCTTTTGGCTGTCTATGAAGCTTATCTTTGACATTTATTTCCTCTTGGTTTTGGAATTAGAATTGTTGATTATTTTTCTTCCCAGGTCCCGTCAGTTTCAGAGTTGGTTTGTGAAGATTAAAAAATATATATATATCAAAGTAGATACTCTTTAAAAAAAAATAGGGTCGGGGGTGGTGGCTCACACCTGTAATCCCAGCACTTTGGGAGGCCGAGGCAGGTGGATCACAAGCTCAAGAGATTGAGACCATCCTGGCCAACATGGTGAAACCCCATCTCTACTAAAAATACAAAAATTAGCTGGGCGTGGTGACACACGCCTGTAGTCCTAGCTACTTGGGAGGCTGAGGCAGGAGGATTGCTTGAACCTGGGAGGCAGAGGTTGCAGTGAGCCGAGATCATGCCACTGCACTCCAGCCTGGCAACAGAGTGAGTCTCTGCCTCGAAAAGAAAAAAAAAGTTTTACAGTACATTTTCTGGTCAACTATGTTATATCAGATTTTTGCTACATTTTGAGGGAAAATAGAACTCCTGGATGCTTTCATTTTTCTTATAAAAGATGTTCTAGCCAGGCACAGTGGCTCATGCCTGTTATCCCAGCACTTTGGGAGGCCAAGGCGGGTGCATCACCTGAGGTCAGGAGTTGGAGACCAGCCTGGACAACATGGTGAAATCCTGCCTCTACTAAAAATGCAAAACATTAGCCAGGCGTGGTGGCAGGCATCTGTAATCCCAGCCAATCTGGAGGCTGAGGCCAGAGAATCGCTCGAACCTGAGAGGTGGAGGTTGCAGTGAGCCGAGATCGCTCCATTGCCCTCCAGCCTGGTTGGCAAGAGCAAGACTCTGTCTCAAGAAAAAAAAAAAAAAAGATGTTCCAACTAAACTGTCCTCATTATTTTTTTTTCACATTAGTTTGATACGGAATCCACTAAGACTCATATAAATGGGATAGTCCAAGCCTTTAGATAAGCTTATTGCAGCTGTCTGCTGCTTTTCTACTAAGGAATGATCATAAAACTCTTAGAGAAGTCTGGCCCATTCCACACTGTTCACTCATTTTTATTTGCCCTTACTTGTTCTGATTTATCTCACAGCAGTAGCCATACACGCTTGTTCTCACGAGTATCCCAAACTGTGGACGAGATGGGGTGCTTACTGGCTGGCGTGCTGACTTACTTCTGAGGCACGGAAATGGAGAAGCTGCCATTTGGTGGCAGGACAAGGACAGGGGCTCATGTCTTAGGTTCTCCTACTGCACCCTGGGTTCCTGGGGTGATGCTTACATTGCTCAGCACATGCCACTCTGCCGTGGGTTTTGGAGTCATCTCCCCCAGATGTGTTGGGTGTGTTTCCTTGCATATGTTGGGTTTTGAGTTCCATCCTGTCTCCACCCTTTCTAGGTGTCTCTGAAATTCTCATTTGTGAAGCCATCACATTTGAATGAGACCATATCCAGCCCAACAACTTGGGGCAGTGTATTACTTAAGACTGAAAAAAGCCTAGATTTGAACGCAGATTGTGTCTAAAACAGATGTTTTCCTGTCCCTCTACCCCAGTTATTTCCCTATGTTGAAGAGAAAGGTCAGTCTTCTGTGGCCAGTAGTGCATTCCTGGTGTTATTTGAATAGTTCACATGTACACAGGCCATAATGACCCCTGAGAGCTCTGCCCACAGCTGGAGTTTAAGTAATCAGCGGCATCACGTGTTCAGTTCAGGGCTCAAGTGTGCTCGGCTCCAAACGCTGTCTTTATAAAGCCAGAAATTCCCTTCCGAGTATGTAGGACTCATAGAGTCTACCTGGGTTTAAACTTTGCTTTTCTCTTCACTCGTAACAGTCAATTATGAATGGGATCATTATCTTCTCTGAAAGTTTACCCCTCTTGTGCTTTTGAATTTCATTCCAAATTAATTTGCTCGGGATTATTAAATATAATGAGCTAGTTCATGATTCTAATAAAACAAAGTTGGAATGTGGAAATTTAAAATAGGGAGATGTTCTTTTTCTTTCTTGGGTCAAAGGCTTTTTAGCCCAGGTGTGACTAGGGCATTATTTTTGTTCAGCTTTTGAGTATAAGTGCTTCCAAATTATTCCTCAGGGAAAAGTGTATGTTGGGGTGGGGTGGGAGGTGATTTAAAATTAAAAAGAATATAAGCCAGGCACAATGGCACCCGCCTGCAGTCCCAGCTACTTGGGAGGCAGAGGAAGGAGGATAAAATATATGTACATATTTTAAGGTTGTTAAAATGGCAAATTTTATGTTATATATATTTTACCACAATAAAAAATTAAAAAAATTATATCATATAATTATATGTAGTATATACTGTATTATATATTATTATATAACATATAAATATATTTTATCTGTTATAATGTATTATAATGTAATATATTGTATTTTATATAATGTAATATAATGTAAATATATATTATATAAATATTTATAATGTAAATATATATAATGTATATATAAATATATAATGTAAATATATATTATATAATATAATGTAAATATATATTATATATTTACATATATGTATATGTACATATTTACATATATAGTTACACATATATGTTATATATTTATATTTAATATATATTACATATATGTAATATATTTATGTTATATATGACCTATATAACATAGGTAATATATATTATATATGACCTATATAACATAGGTAATATTTATTATATATGACCTATATAACATAGGTAATATATATTATATATGACCTATATAGCATAGGTAATATATATTATATATGACCTATATAACATAGGTAATATATATTATATATGACCTATATAACATAGGTAATATATATTATATATGACCTATATAACATAGGTAATATATATTATATATGTTTTAATATATATTTTAAGAGTCCCCCCAAACATGAAGCTCATTGTTCTCACTAGTTTGGATGGACACCATCCTGAGATTGCTATTGGATAGCACTAATCTAACATTGATGCCAAGTACACTAGATTCTAGCAGTTTTCAATAATTAATAATCACCTTGTGATTTCTCAACTCCTTTTAGACCTGTTTGCCTCAGTGATGTGAGTTTCACCATGTTGCCCAGGCTCACGTAACTATTTAAGTGGCTACCTGTAGGGGATTGTAATCTTCTGTAGTGAGCCTGGTCCCTTGAATTGCCCATGCAGGTGTGAGTCCCTGCAGTGCTTGAGGGTGCCTAGATGAGAGAGCCCACCGGGCTAGAGCTGCATGAAATGCTTACAGGTGTGCAATTGTTTTCTTGGACCAGTTTTCAGCTATAACACGGATTCCCGCCAGACGTGTGCTAACAACAGACACCAGTGCTCGGTGCACGCAGAGTGCAGGGACTACGCCACGGGCTTCTGCTGCAGCTGTGTCGCTGGCTATACGGGCAATGGCAGGCAATGTGTTGCAGAAGGTAATTTGCTTTTCTATGTTCGTTTCATGCGGGAGAAGGAGGAGCGGAGTTTTTGTTTTGGTGCTCGTTTTCCATGTTGCTTTACCCACATCTCCGTAGGTGTGTAGAGTTTTTCTTATGGCAGCCATACATGGTCTCTCTTTCCTCATTTTTTCTCGTATTCTCTACAGGCATCCCCCAGGAAGGCCCATTTTTCAAATATGGCAAAGTCTTCCTTTCCTGTGCTATTTCTCCATCTCAGGGGACAGTCACTGGGAGCCCATCTTCACAACTGCGTGGTGTGTGGCCACAAAGGCCGTAGTGTTAAAATTATGCAGCCTGGACAAAGAATTGTTTATGTCCCTCACTTTCCTTCACTTCTTTGAAATCTCTTTCATGTATTTTTTTCTTAGAGTCTCTCTAATTTTATGTTGTGTTGCTCACAGACCTATGTTTTTTTTTTTCTTGAGACAGAGTCTTACTCTGTCACCCAGGCTAGAGTGCAGTGGTGTGACCTTGGCTCACTGCAGCTTTCATCTCCCAGGTTCAAGTGATTCTCCTGCCTCAGCCTCCTGAGTAGCTGGAATTACAGATGTGCGCCACCAAACCCAGCTAATTTTTGTATTTTTCATAGAGATGGGGTTTCTCCATGTTGGCCAGACTGGTCTCAAACTCCTGACCTCAAATAATCTGCCTGCCTCGGCCTCCCGAAATGTTGGGATTACAGGTGTGAGCCAGCGCGCCCAGCCAGACCTATCTTAATGGTTGCTAAGTCCCAGCAGGGCCACAGAAGGCTGGCTTAGACCAAAGTCTGTGGCAAGTAAAGTTTATCCCATCATCCTCTCCCTCCTGTCTCTCTTTCCTGGTGCTCCTGAAGTCATAGCGTGGTTACAGTTGAGCATCAGAGATGCACCATGGTTAATGCTGGGGTGCCAATTCCAAATGGATTCGGCTATGGGCCAATGTCCATTCTAAACTCTGCCCTCAAAAGGATCAACTGGTTTGGATGCTTGCAGATGGTCAGGAGAATCCTTTCTGTGCAAATCTGGGGGTCCTGGTAATGTTCACTCGGTGCACCATCTGGGAGGCTGGAATTTGTCTTAATTCCAGAATTAACACAAAAATGGCAAAACCCCACCATGTTAAACGTTCCTCCCTTCAGATGCGGTCTTAGTCACTTTTCTGATGCTTCTAGCAGAATACCTGAAACTGAGTAATTTATAAAGAAAAAAAATTTATTTCTTACAGTGATGGAGGCTGAGAAGTCCAAGATCAGGGGGCCACATTTGGTGATGGCCTTGTTTCTGGTGGGGGCTCTCTGCAGAGGTGGTACAGGAGGCTGAGCATCCTGGGTCGGGTCTCTCTTCCTCTTCCTGTAAAGCCATCAGTCCCATTCCCGTGATAACACATTCATCCATTAATCCATGACTGCATTAATTCATTCTTCAGGGCAGAGCCCTCATGACCCAATCAGCTCAGAAAGGCCCCATTTCTAAATGCTATCACATTGGGGATTAAGTTTCAATATGAGTTTTGGAGGGGACATTCAAGCCATAGCAGATGCCAACAAATTGTCTCACTTGTCGTGGGTCATTTTCCTTGTGTGTTTAATGTGGAACTTCAATTGCTTTGCAAAAATTGACTAAATAAAAGTCAACTGGAGGAATGGTTTCTGCTTTTCAGAACCCCTACCTGCCATAGTTATAATTAAATTCGTTATCATTTCAAGTTGCTAAAAACAAAAAATCATTTCCTTCTGTGTCCCCATTAGATAAAGTGAGGTTTTAAAAAATACTACCTTCAGCAATGGAAGACAATTGAGTATGCTTTACTTATTAATTTTAGGGGATGTTATTAACTTCTAAACTGTTTTTGATTTTCTTTTAAATCCCATCACCCCAGGGGTGGTGTGTCTTTGCTTCTTTGTTTCAGGCTTGGCTTTTGTATCTTCTCCATCCCAGGAGAAGCTTCCAAAATCCACAATAAAAGCTTATTCTTAAAGAGCAACCTCTTAGCCTTTTCTACCCCAAATATCAGAGCTTGAAATGCTGAACAGTTTGTGTTTGGCAGCCAGCTCAGATATGACAAACTGTTCAGCCACATATTTTGACATTATATACACACCCTGGAATAGATTTGTGGTTTAAATATTTGTTGGATTCTTGCTACTTAAAAAAAAAATGTTTCTAGCTCAAAGTTTGGTGGAAAATTTTTTGTTTGGTTTCTTAACTTGGCCTTCTTGCTTGTTTTCCTGATTGTTCTTGGGATACCTTTTTGCGCTGTTGGCCAGCTAACTTCACAGTGTTCCCCGGAGTAATGATGCAACGTGTGTGCAGAATGACTCTGTTGGATATGTCCTGGCTGATCAGAGAACCTGTTGAGCCGTTTGGGCGTATGGAACCCAACGAAAAGTCATCAGAACGCAGCTGATCCCCGGATGGCAGCCCCTGCCTAGGGCTATTCAACAACATTCACTGAGAGAGGATGTGGAGAAATAGGAACACTTTTACACTGTTGGTGGGACTGTAAACTAGTTCAACCATTGTGGAAGTCAGTGTGGCGATTCCTCAGGGATCTAGAACTAGAAATACCATTTGACCCAGCCATCCCATTACTGGGTATATACCCAAAGGACTATAAATCATGCTGCTATAAAGACACATGCACACGTATGTTTATTGCGGCATTATTCACAATAGCAAAGACTTGGAACCAACCCAAATGTCCAACAATGATAGACTGGATTAAGAAAATGTGGCACATATACACCATGGAATACTATGCAGCCATAAAAAATGATGAGTTCATGTCCTTTGTAGGGACATGGATGAAATTGGAAATCATCATTCTCAGTAAACTATCGCAAGAACAAAAAACCAAACACCGCATATTCTCACTCATAGGTGGGAATTGAACAATGAGATCACATGGACACAGGAAGGGGAATATCACACTCTGGGGACTGTGGTGGGGTGGGGGGAGGGGGGAGGGATAGCACTGGGAGATATACCTAATGCTAGATGACGAGTTAGTGGGTGCAGCGCACCAGCATGACACATGTATACATATGTAACTAACCTGCACAATGTGCACATGTACCCTAAAACTTAAAGTATAATAAAAAAAAAGAAAGAAAGAAAGAAAAAAAAAAGAAAACTCTGCCGAGAACCTGTGAGGGGCTGGGTGTGAAAGTCCTGACCCTGTGATGATCATAATCTAGGAACAGAAATAAGATATGTACAATCAATAACTGAAAGTAATACCACATCAAATATAAACAATGCAATGTAACCTTTGTTTTCCCTCTTCCTTCAGTTTTTGTTTTCCTGAGATATAATTCACATACCTTTTTAAAGTATACAATTTGGTGGGTTTTAATATATTCACAAAGTTGTCCAACTATTACCTCTATCTAATTCTAGAACATTTTCATCACCCCCAAAAGAAACACCGTGTCCATTAGTAGTCACTCTTGATTTCTCAAAATGCCCCCAGCCGCTGTCAAGCCCTCACCTACTTTCTGTCTTTATAGGTGTTCCTATTCCAGACGTTTCATGCACATAGAATCGTACAATACATGACCTTTTGTGTCTGACTTCTTTCCCTTAGCATGATGATGATTTCAAGGTTCATGGCCTGTTTTAGCCCATATCAGTATTTCATGCCTTTTTCTTTTTCTTTCTTTCTTTTTTTTTTTTTTTTGAGATGGAGTTTCGCTCTTATTGCCCAGGCTGGAGTGCAATGGTGCAATCTCAGCTCACTGCAACCTCTGCCTCCTGTGTTCAAGCGATTCTCCTGCTTCAGCCTCCTGAGTAGCTAGGATTATAGGTGACCGCCACCATGCCTAGCTAATTTTTTGTATTTTTAGTAGAGACGGGGTTTCACCATGTTGCCCAGGCTGGTCTCGAACTCCTGATCTCAGATGATCCACCTGCCTTGGCCTCCCAAAGTGCTGGGATTACAGATATGAGCCACCAGGCCCAGCCTCATGCCTTTTTCTAGTTAAATAATATCTTAATGAATGGAGGTACCGTATTTTGTTTATCCATTCATCAGTTAATGGACATTTGGGTTGTTTTCCTTTTGGCTCTGGTGAGTAATGCTGCTAAGAACATTTGTGTTCACGTTTTTGTGTGGACACATGTGCTCCTTTCTCTTGGCTGTATACCTAGGAATTAGAATTGCTGGGCCATACAGTAACCTTCAATGTTCTTATTTGAATACAACAAACAGCAATTTAATTTCTTTAGTTCTTATTTTTTTCCTGTTTAAACAATAATAAATATATGCAAGTTATAAATACTCAAAAATTATAAAAATTTATAGTATAGGAAATGAATTCACCACGTTTGCCCTGAGTTAACCATTGTTAGCAGTTTTCCCCCAGGTATATGCCAACATTTATCATGAATGTAATTTTTTAAGCAAAAATGGTATCCCAGATCAATTTATTATCAAGGTATTAAGGAGGCTTTTAAATTTGTCATAGTAGGTCTCAATTCCATCGTTCCCAGTTGTCTAAATGGAACAAGCAGCACCAGACACGCCAAGCTGGTTCTGGTTCAGAGGGCATGACTGTGTAGCCTGGGCGGTGACTCTGTACTTGTCTGTGTGGCTTGTGCTGGCTGAGGCTCCAAGACTCAGACTGGCAGTGCTAACGCTGGGTGGTGGGACTGTATATGAGCTCACAGTGTTTATTAAAGTGTGTTATAGATCAGGCAGGCAAATGTCTATACTCCCAGGGCCATTCAGGTTAGCCTTGCTGTCCCAATGAAATGAGCAATTCCACACTCCTTTTACTCTCTCTCTCTCTTTTTTTGAGACAGTCTCGCTCTGTCACCCAGGCTGGAGTGCGGTGGCATGATCTTGGCTCACTGCAACCTTAGCCTCCCGGGTTCAAGCGATTATCCCACCTCAGCCTCCTGAGTAGCTGGGACTACAGGCACCCGCCATCATGCCCAGCTAATTTTTTTATTTTTAGTAGAGACAGGGTTTCGCCGTATTGGCCAGGCTGGTCTTGAACTCCTGACCTCAGGTGATCTGCCTGCCTCGGCCTCCCAAAGTGCTGGGATTACAGGCATGAGCCACCATGCCCATCCTCCTTTTACTCTCAAATGTGATAAATTCTATGGTCGCCTTAGTTCTAGGTCACCCCTGATATTCTTCTTCTTCTGAAATTCTGTTTTTAACTCCTGCAGTTCCTCAATGGCTGTCCGTGGAGACAGCTTTCGTGCTATCCATTTTCAGTCACAGGAAGAGAGGCAGGGGCATTGGAATTTTGAAGGCCCGCAGCATACAGTTGTGGGTAGTCTCAGGAAGAACAGCTGCTTTTGCTTACCCAAAGCCATTGACCCCAGTGCTGTTTTGTTTCTTTGCTTTCTTCACCAATAGGTACAGGTCCTACATATTACTCGTGTTTGAAAGACTGGCTTGGAAGTGATCTCTATATTCTTTCTTTGTTTTCTTGCTCAGGTTCCCCCCAGCGAGTCAATGGCAAGGTGAAAGGAAGGATCTTTGT